>NT_187612.1:0-178921 GCF_000001405.40 Homo sapiens
GATCAGAGGGGTGGGGCGCCGAGGAGACGGAGATCCAGAGGGGCGGGGCGCCGAGGAGACGAGATCCAGAGGGGCGGGGCCCCGAGGAGACAGGGATCCAGAGGGGCGGGGCGCCGAGGAGACGAGATCCAGAGGGGCGGGGCCCTGAGGAGACGAGATCCAGAGGGGCGGGGCCCCGAGGAGACGGACATCAGAGGGGCAGGGCCCTGAGGCGATACCATGGCCCATGGGGTCAGTGCCACAGTCCTCCCCAGGCTTCCTTGCGTGACAGCCCTGGCCCGAGGCATCCAACCCATGGGCTTCCATCTTCACAGCCAGAGGGAGGAATGAGCAGGGCTGGTCTGCAGCAGGACAGGTGGATCCTGGGCCAGGGCGTTAAACTTAGCAACTGTTCCAGGGCCCCCTGGAGCAAGCGACCTTCCCATAGCAACCTCTCAGACCCCTGGTGCTCGGTTTTGGGAAGCAGGTGGCACATCTGTGACAACAAGGTCCAGCAGCCACCACCCAGGCCCATCTTCACACCTGGGATCCCAGCCTCTGCCCAGCCTCATGAGCGAAGCTCACACCACGCAGCAGCTGTCTTGGGCCACCCAAGGAGCCACAGCTGCCCTGGGAGCTGTGGCTGAGTTGAGGGCCATCATGCATGGGGCCGACAGGCCACGGGGCCCCCCTGGGAAGCACCCACCTGCTCATTTCTTTTCTTTCTTTTTTTTTTTTTCTTGCTCTATCACCCAGGCTGGAGTGCGGTGGTGCAATCTCAGCTCACTGCAAGCCCCGCCTCCTGGGTTCACACCATTCTCCTGCCTCAGCCTCCCAAGCAGCTGGGACTACAGGTGCCCGCCACCAGGCCCGTCTAATTTCTTTTTGTATTTTTAGTAGAGACGGGGTTTCACCATGTTAGCCAGGATGGTCTCGATCTCCTGACCTCATGATCTGCCTGCCTCGGCCTCCCAAAGTGGTGGAATTACAGGCGTGAGCCACCGTGTCGGGCCCCACCGGCTCATTTCTAACCTTCAGTATCGGCCACAGCAGCGTTTGAGGTGGAATTCTACATTTTTATGGTTTCTCAGTAAAGCAATGCTTCCTGCCCTTGCTTTGGGCTGAGCCCCTGGGGTTTCAGGGCGTCTGGGGCCTGTGTTGGGACTGGGCAGGGGTCCACACTATCTTCATCTGAAGTGTTCTCGCCAGTGGACGTCAGCCTGACCTCCCATCCCTCCTGCCGCCCTGCCACCAAGCTCCTTCCCTCTGCAGCTGGGGCCACTCCCCCTTCCTACTGCCCTGAAGCTCTTCCTGCTGGACAGGCACCAGGCCATGGTGGGGAGTGTCCCTGGACGAGGTATCCCAGATGCACCCCAGTCGTGGCTGCATCTGGGCCCTCCCTGGAAGTTGCCCATTCTCTGTCCTCGGTGTCCTCCGCCCTCAGCAAACACCACAGGACTCTCCCAGACAGCAACCCACGTGCAGCAGCCATGACCGGCACTTCCCAGCACTGCCGGGCCACTGCCTGGAGTACACACCTGGCCCCAAGGGGCTGTTCCGTGGCAAGGAGCACGCCCTGGGAGGCGCCAGCCGTTGGGAAATCAGACAGAGTCTGCTCCACCGGGAAAGCCACACGGAGCTCAGCTGGACTCAGGCTCGGGGGAGGAAGCTCAGGCGCCTGATCGCTGGGGCAAAGCAGCTGGAGGCCGGAGAGAAGGGCAGGCCCTGACAGCAGGCAAGGGTGGCCTGCACCCACCAGGCTGGTCTCCTCACCGGACTGAGGGCCTCTCTTCCCCAGGCACCCACCAGGCTGGTCTCACAGGACTGAGGCCCTCTCTTCCCCAGGCACCCACCAGGCTGGTCTCACCAGACTGAGGCCCTCTCTTCCCCAGGTCCCTGGCCGGCCTCCATGTCCTGGTCCCGGGCCGGCCTCCATGTCCTCCACCACTCAGCCTCAGTGGATCACTGGACAGACTGCAGGGAGTCTTTGCCAGCCTTGGGGTTTTTCCTCCCCAGGTTCCAGTTCTCCCACAAATGCCCTCTGCTCACCTCTGAGAAGTACAGGAAGAGCCGTGCTCAGAGGTCCCACTGGAGACCCCTCCAAGGCACGGCAGGTGCCAGCAACAGCAATGCCAGGGCACCCTGCCCAGAAGCAGAGCCAAGTGAGCAAGGCTGGGGGCTCTGGAGGTCCAGACAAGACCCTCTGGGGGCAGGAAAGTCAAGTGTCCTGGTCGAGGTCACACAGTGGCTGGGACCAAGGACCCCTCTCCACGACCCTGGGAAGCACAGCTGCCCGTGCAGAAGTCCAGACCCTGGTGGAGCTCGGCTCGGCCCCACGGCACGGGAGAGGCAGAAGCTCCAGCAGTGAGTTCTCCCTGAGCTGCAGCTGCAGCGAGGCATCCCCGGCACAGCCCCACGGCTCCAGGTGGAACCGGGAGGAGGAGGAGCCTGGGGACCACTCAAGAGTAGCCGGGCGGGGAGCACAGCCCCTGCAGCGTCTCCTGGGCAGAAGCAGGTGTGGTCAGGACGAAGGAAGCACCTGGTCTGTGGCCCAGACAGTGTCTCCTTCTATCCACATCCGGAGCGACACTGAGGTGGGCTGAACAGAGGCTCCGGTGGACAGAGACCCGTAGGCACCGCCCAGCCTGCCCCTGCTCAAGCTGCCCGGGTCGCTTCTTACAGAGCCCCACTGTGCTGCACTCACATCATCTCACAGGTCCTGCCACCCTTGTCCACCTGCCCACAGACCCGCCACCCCCCTCACGGTCCTGCCAACCTTGTCCCCCCTCCCACAGACCCGCCACCCCCCTCACGGTCCTGCCACCCTTGTCCCCCTCCCACAGACCCACCACCCCCCTCACGGTCCTGCCAACCTTGTCCCCCCGCCCACAGACCCGCCACCCCCCTCACGGTCCTGCCAACCTTGTCCCCCTCCCACAGACCCACCACCCCCCTCACGGTCCTGCCAACCTTGTCCCCCCGCCCACAGACCCGCCACACCCCCTGTCCGGCCCAGGGAAGTGCAGTGCCTATGGGTGGGACTGGCAGACCCGCCGGCCGACACCCAACCTGGCAGCCGCTGTGGCCAGAGACCAGTTATCTACCATCAAGAATGTGCCCTTGACTATTTTTATGTCATGTGTGTTTTCTTTCTTGCCTCAGTTTTTAGTAAAGTTCCTTGTTGGGCATTTTAGTCCAGCTCAGCAGTGCTAAAAGGGGAAAGAAAGGGGCGTTGGGCTGTTTCTGGGCGGAGAGTGCCGGGCAGAGTGGCTCCCGGCCCCTCACCCTTCCCTGGGCCCTCCACCCCTCCCGCAGCGCCCCTCCCCCTCACCGGAGCCCCCCGGGTGTATTTTTGTTTCTTTGTTTTTTAGCATATTTTTCATCTTGCCTCTGATCAAACTGATGGCTAGAAAAGTATGTGGCTTGGTAAGCAAAATTCTTCTGAAGAAATTCCAGAGCCCCCGGCCGCCGTGACCTCACCGCCCCGACACCAGCCAAGCCTCCGCTGTCTTTATAAATCACGGCCCGCCCGGCTGGCAGCACACAGTGGCCCAGTGTTGACTCCGGATTCCTCACGTTCCCTGGCGTCCCCCGTGGGGCCCCTGCCCCGGCGGTCGGGGAAGCAGAGCGGGCAGGCTGGGGGTCCCTGGGCGGCCATCCCCTCCCTGCTGGGTGAGCCGGCGTCCTCCCTGCAGGTCTGCGTCCCCACGTCCCGCCCCTGCCTTCCGCCCCTCAGAACCCCTGCCATAGCCGCACTGCCACGACCTCCTGCTGTTAGTGGCCGCCCCCACCTCCGGAGCCCGACCCACTCTGCTCCGAGGCTGCTGGGATGGGCACCCACCTGTAACCAAGTGTGAATAGCAGAGCCGGTGCTGGCTGCAGGCCAGACACCAGCAGGGCTGATCAGGCCCCAGGCCGCTCCTCAGGTGGGGGCAGGACCCAGTGTGCACCGGCTGAACCGGTGCCCACTGCAGGCTGGCACAGGGGCTGCACTGGGAACCAAGGCTCTGCCCTTCTCCCAGGACTCAGTCTCTGTGGGAGACCAAGACCCACAGCCCAGGCTGATGTCCTAGAGGGAAGACCTGGGGGTAGGGGGCACTGGGGAGGGGAGGCATGGGGCCTGGTGGGGGAAGGAATGGCAGGAGGGGAGGGGGTGTTGGGGGAATCCCACAGGAGAGGAAGGAAGAGGCTGAGGTCACAGGCACAACAAATCCCAGGAGAGCAGGGCCCAGGAGCACCCGGTGCCGCCTCAGAAGGCTCTCGGGCCTCTGCTCACAGCCCCGTGCCCCTCCTGGTATTGAGTGACCCACCTGCCGTCCTTCACAAGGGCGGGTTTAATCCCAGCAGGCAGGTTCCCAGGAACATGCCCGTGCACAGTAGGCCTCCCTCCATGCTCGCCCAGTGAGTGGTCAGGGAGGAGAGGACCCCGGGGTCTCACCAGCTCCTCTCAGGACCCTCACCATTTTGACCGCACAAAGGAGCAAAGAAGGGTTCCCGAGGGCAGCCAGGGCCGGGACCCCACCAACCGGCCTGACTGATGAACTCCGGGGGCCGCTGCCTGCACAGAAGGGGAGCGGACAGCCCGGCCGGGGCCAATTCCCACCACGCCGGCCTGGTTTCTAAACAGTTTAATCAATTAGCGAGGTGGAAGCCCTCAGTGTCAGCTGCAGTGCTAATGAGGGGCCCCACCCCCACCCGTGGGACCTGCAGCCGGACTCTGGCCCCTCAGCAGGGCCTCCCAGTGCGGTGGGGTGGGGACAAGGAGGGGGGCTGGGAACCCAGCTGTGCAGCCCCCGCCACAGGCTCAGCCACACGGTGTCCAGTGCCCGGCCCTCCCTGCAGCCAGCTTTCCTTCTGGAACCGCAGGGAACCTCTGACAAAGCCCTCCCAGCAGAGGAAGCTCAACTCACAGGATAGCCAGGAAGGGGGGGCTCCTCATGTGGAGGGAGTCGAGGTCGAGGGAGGATGAGGGGTGAGCCAGGACTGTCCCTGCCACCCCAGCGTCCCAGCTGACCCCTCTCTCTCACACACACAGAGACACATGTGAACACGGACCACATTCCTGCCCAACCTGAGATGGCTTGACATGCCGGGGCCTCGGCCAGCCCTGTGACGAGCTGGAAACCGAGTCACAGCTCCCATGGGGCCCAGCGTTTGCAGATGGGGGACCAGCATGGAGCTGTGGGCTCTGGTTGCTCTCAGCTTCTCTCTCATGGCCATCAGCCGACTGGACCCCAGGGTGAAAGGTGTAGGCGTCTGGGCATCCAACAAGCAGGAGGCCCCCCGCCACCCCACATAGGCTGCCCCCTCGACCCGCAGAGTTCTTGGAAAACCTCCAGGGCTTCCCGGAGGGAAAAGGGCAGGTGGAGGGGGCAAGTGGGGGCCGGAAAAGTAGGGGCAATCCTCACGCTGGGAGCAAGGAGGAGCCTTGCCAACTCCCCTCCCCTTATGGGGGGACTGACAGATACGGGGCTCCTGGGAGAAGCCACCGCCCCCGAGAGCTCCAAAGCCTCTGACTTGTCTTGGGTAAGTCTCACTGCTCTTGCAGCACCTGGGGGACGATGGGGGCCGCCCTGGAGGGGAAGCAGTTGCTGTCCGGTGCAGGTGGGACAGGACCAGGCGTTCAGCGAGGACAATGCAGGCTGCGTTGCAATCCGACGGCCTTTCTGGTTGCTCTCCGGGGATGAGTTACACCCTGAGCCCCAGCCTTCTTGCCTTCATGTGGAGCTCCCCAACCTTCTCTAGTAGCAAAGTCCAGTGAGCCAGGACCCCCTGCATTGGTGATGACCTAGTGAATCCAGGCTCCAGCCAGGGCAGTGTCTCCCCCTGGCCACCCTGCACCTCCCCCGCTGGACTCCCTCCCACCCACCCTGGCCTGCCCAGGTCAGATGCCCCCAGCAGATGGAAACCCTCAGGGCTGGGTGCAGCATTCACCCCTGGGGTGCCAGGCAGGGTCATGATATCAAGTCCCCAGGAAGGAGCTGGGGGTGCAGATCTGCAGGCAGGGGTGTCCTGCAGGAGAGAGCTCAGGGAGAGCCTGGAAGCCACTTCCAGATGCCGGGCTGCAGGCCTGGCTCAAAACCCACCTCCCCTGTGAAGCCCGCCTCAACCCTCATAGTTAGAAGTGAGTTCTGCACCCCCTAGCACCCACACACTCAACCTTGACCCTCTCTTTTTCCTCGGGGGACATGTGGATCTGCCCGTGTGCATGTTCACGGCCGTGGGCTCCTGCAGGAGGACAGGTCCCAGAGCTGAGCAGGCAGCTGGACCTCACAGCCCTGTCCTGGCCCAGCGGAGAGACGAGGCCCCAGTCCCCCACCCCGGAGTGGACACTTTCTGTTTGGTAAGCTTTGCCTTCCCCTAGACTCTGGACCAAAAACCCCCCAGCCCACAGGCACTTCTTAAAAAACAGAAGCCTCCCGTGAAGCGTGACTTCTACTCCACCTGACACCGGGTTCTGGCCTACCCCAGCATCCCTGTAATTGAGGAGAGGCTGCCAGCCTGAAACCCGACCTTCTTGTTCTGCAGCCTTCTCCTGTCAGTCAACACCCCCGGGAGCCAGCCCAGAAAACCCAGGTTCCAGGAGCAGATTCCCTGCCGCCCCGCTGTGGGCTGGGCACCTGTGCTGTGGCGCCTGCTGGCAAAGGTGTGCTGACCACCAGCCACAGTGGGACCTGGCCCAGCCCCAGCCTGCTGCTTCAGGTCCTCGCCCAGAAACACCTGCTTCTTGTTGTGACCTGTGGGAGCCTGCAGACCTGTGCTGGCTCAGATCTGAGCTGGTGCACACCTGAGCCAGTGCACACCTGAGCCGGCACACATCTGAGCCGGTACACACCTGAGCCGGTGCACACCTGAGCTGGTACACATCTGAGCCGGTGCACACCTAAGCCAGTGAACACCTGAGCTGGTGCACACCTGAGCCAGTGCACGGTACACACCTGAGCTGGTGCACACCTGAGCCGGTGAACACCTGAGCCGGTGCACACCTGAGCCGGTGCACAGCTGAGCCGGTGCACACCTGAGCCGGTACACACCTGAGCCAGTGAACGCCTGAGCCAGTGCACGGTACACACCTGAGCCAGTGCACACCTGAGCCGGTACACACCTGAGCCAGTGAACAGCTGAGCCGGTGCACAGCTGAGCCGGTGCACACCTGAGCCGGTACACACCTGAGCCGGTGCACACCTGAGCCAGTGCACGGTACACACCTGAGCCAGTGCACACCTGAGCCAGTACACACCTGAGCCAGTGAACACCTGAGCCGGTGAACATCTGAGCCGGTGCACACCTGAGCCAGTGAACATCTGAGCCGGTACACAGTGCTTACCCAGAGTGCCTGAGCATTTGGCAAGGCCGGCATGGTGCCCACTGACCACATCACCCTCTCCCAGGTCCCCTTTGCTCTTAGCGGCTGCACGGGAGGAACTGCCTGATTCATCAATGGGGATGCAGGCTGGGGTCTGGTTAACTGACACTCCCAGGGACCCCCTGTGCTGGGGCATGGTGTACCCCAAATTTCATGTCCACCAGGAACCGCTGAGTGTGACCTTATTTGGAAATGGGGTCTTTGCGGACGTAATCGGTTTAAGACGAGGTCACTGGTGTGGGCCCCAATCCAGTGACCAATGTCCTAGAGAAAGATCTGGACACAGACACAGGGAGAAGCCGTGTGGCCACGGAGGCAGAGACTGGAGTGATGCAGCCACCATCAAGGAGCACCTGGAGCCCCCAGAGGCCAAGGAGAAGATGAAGAGTCCTCCCCTGGCAGAGGAGAAGATGAAGGGTCCTCCCCCTGGCTGAGAAGATGAAGGTTCCTCCCCTGGCTGAGGAGAAGATGAAGATCCTCCCAGGAACCCCCGGAGGCTGAGGAGAAGACAAAGGGTCCTCCCTGGAACCCCCGGAGGCTGAGGAGAAGATGAAGGGTCCCCCCCTGGCTGAGGAGAAGACGAAGGGTCCCCCCCAGCTGAGGAGAAGACGAAGGGTCGCCCCCGGCTGAGGAGAAGACGAAGGGTCGCCCCCGGCTGAGGAGAAGACGAAGGGTCCTCCCTGGAACCCCTGGAGGCTGAGGAGAAGATGAAGCGTTCTCCCCTGGAGCCCTGGAGGGAGAGGCTCTGCCCACACCGTGACTTTGGATTGTGGCCTCAGGAACTCAGAGAACGAGGTTGTTTCAGCCCCGCAGTCGGTGGTGATTTGTTCTGGTAGCCGCATCCTTTGGGGACATGGGGTCACCAACCTGGGTTCAGACCAGCTCCTGGGCGTCTAGAGACTAGCTGTGGGCCCCTGCACTGTGGGCAGGCTGGGGCCACAGGGCAGGACCTGCATTAATGGAAATGCAGCAGCAGGCGCTGAGGGACAGTCGCCGGGCGGAGCAAGCGTGTCTGCCGAGGCAGGGTGGCGCCCTGGGGTACGTCCAGCGAGGCCCTGAACACGGGCCGTGGGCACCGGACCTGGCGAAAGACAGACTCCGGCTTCTGGCTGGTCGGATCCTCGTCTTTATTCTCGGGAACGGAAACAACCGGCGGCCTGAAAAGGACCAAAGCTCATCCTTTAAAAATAAAATGAAAATAAAAAACGTATTATTTGGCTCCAAAACTTCCGTCATGAGAATAACAACTCTGAATGGCACCTTTTCACACATCCACTGTGCCCAACGGCCAGTGCTTCACCCAACCGCAGGCCAGATGCCGTGACTCCTAACGTCTTTAGAGAACAGTATCAGACGGCACACCAAGGCGTTTTAAGACACGGGAATTTGTTTCCTATGGACATTTCTTTTTTACCAAAAAAAAATATAATAACTTAGTTTGCATTTTACAGCATTTCCAATCGGCCAGGGCATCCTTGGCTGGAAGCTCATGGGGTTGAGTGTGGCGAGAACGTCCACAGCTTCGGTACCAGGGTCAGGCCTGGGCCCAGGGCATGCGGCTCCCAGCGCGCGGCCCTCACCGCACGGCCCCACCAGGACCGCAGCGCCCACCGCAGCCTGTGACTCATCAGGAGAGGAAGGGCAGCGGCCCACGGAGTCAGTCCGTGCCAACCTCACAAGGGTTCAGCCCCCTCTCCTGGGCATCCCTGTACATCCTCTGGAAGTCCTTGAAGCGTGGGGCACAGCCGAGCCGCGCCTCCCCGAAGTGCATGTGGCCAGTGAAGAGGAAGTCGCCATGCCCCGGCCGCACGCCACACTCCAGCAGCGTCCTGACGCGCCCCTGCCAGTGGCCGTCACCCTCGGGCACCGGCTCGAAGACCCTGCTTTTCTGCCGATAGAGTCTGCTCACGCGCAGGTGGATGGCTGAGTCCTGCCGCTCAGGCTCGTGGGTAACTTGCTGGATGGAGCCTCGAACGGCTGTGCGGGGAAGGAGATGGGGACAGGGAGTGAGCAAAGGCAAGCACACAGCAAGACCACCGCACCTCCCCCTGCCCCCGCATCGATGGGCACTGGAACGGGCAGCTGACCCCCGACTCTGCCATCTAGCGTGGAAATTCCCAGAGAAAAGTACAATGTAACAGCAGAAAGCTGCCAAGGGGTGTCCCAGATACTTAGACATCGTCAGAGAACAGGTGCCCTTTCTACCAAGGGCCAGACCTGTTAAATGGGAAAACAGAACAAACAAGTCCAGCTGATACACAGGGTGCCCCTGCAGTTCTGTGTCCTGATCAGACAGACCCGGTGCAGCTCACAGGAGAGGGTGGGCATGGGGACAGCCTTCGCGCCACACTTGGAGACCCCTGCCCAGCCCCAACTCCATGCCAGGGGCCGGGAAAGCAGTGAGAAGGGGCCTGTCCTTGAGCTTGGAGGTGGGGTGCAGAGCCGGGGCCTGCAGGACATGGCTTCCACGGCACCACACGACGGGAGGCCAAACCTTTCCCACAGGGCGTCTGTGCAAACGCCACAAGCAAAGGGGCTGGAGCCCTGGGACCCCAAAGCTCCTCCTGCAGAGCCGCAGAGCCGCCGGGGGCCTCAGGCCTGGAACAGCGTGAACTCTGGTGGGGGGCAAGGAGTGTCCAACGCCAAGGATGCTCTGGGCTGCTGATAAAATGCTGTTTACAAAGCACTTCAGCAAGAAGAGCTGCTGGGAGACAGTGGACTTCAAGAGTCCCCTCGAAGAGCAGTGATCTCATTTACAAAATGGGAAAATGTTTGACAGTCACCAAAACAACCCCCAGCTCCCTCCAAGTGTGGGCGGTGGCGTCCCTGTCCCCAGGGCTGGTGGAGGGCCGAGCCCAGGGCTTCCACAGCGTGTGCCCCTCCAGGAGGGTCCACGCAGCACCGGAAGGCTGTCCTGGGCCCTGAAGAGGGACTCCTGGGCCCAAACAGCTCCATGTGGCAGAAACCAGGAGCACAGGAGGTAGAAGCTGCCGAGGAGACACTCACCGAAGTCGCTGGTGCAGACGGCTAGGAGCACCTCGGTGTCACTGCAGGGACGGCACGGCGCTGGAGAAGAAAGGCAGAGTCAGGAAGCAGCCTGGACGGGACAGGCTCTGGAACGCCGCCCACCACCGTCAAAGGATCCTCACACTCAGCAAAGCCAAGTCAGGGAGGGTGTCCACGTCAAGGCACCTTTGTGACCAACGCCACTTCAAATGTGAGTTGGCGGCACGTGCTGGAGGGGCCGGCAGCACGGGAGACAGAAAACACAACCTCGACCACGACGGGGTCTCACCCAGGGGACCCCTCGGCCCCACCTGGACCAAAGGCACCTGCACCTCGGCCATGATGGGCACATGTCCGAGAGCAAGACCCTCAGTCCGGCCATGTCCCAGGGCCTTCGTGGGGAGGGGTCTTTGTGCTCTTTCCCCACTTATCTCCTCAGTGCGGCTGAGCCGGACTCACTGAGAAATCGCTCACGTGCCTGTTGCAAATGCAAAGCCCACTGGGGCTGAACCGAACCCACCAGACAAGAGTCACCCCCAACCCACCTCCACAGCCCACGGCGCCGGGAGCACCCCCACCTCCCAGAGTCGCCCCCAACCCACCTCCACAGCCCACGGCGCCGGGAGCACCCCCACCTCCCAGAGTCGCCCCCAACCCACCTCCACAGCCCACGGCGCCAGGAGCACCCCCACCTCCCAGAGTCGCCCCCAACCCACCTCCACGGCCCACGGCGCCGGGACCACCCTCATTTCCCAGCTTCCTCGAAGGGCAGACACTCCCCACAGCTCTGCTGCCCACTTCCCTGGGTCGCGACGGCAGCGGCACCCAAAAGGAGGATCCCATCCCGCGGGACCCCCCATGTGGCTGGAAGGGCCAGCGAGGCCAAGATTCCAGGAAGGGGATCCCTAAGCAGGCAGCGACGCGTCCACCTGCCACCGGCGTGGGGCCTCACCCAGCAGGGCAGTGAGTTCCAGTCAGGGCCATCGGCCCGGCCCCTTCCCCGGATGCCACCTGGCCGCGGGATGAGGTGCATGCCCCAAATGGCTTTCAAGCCAAGCCCTGCTCACAGAACCCCCTCTGAAGCCCCTGAACCCTGCGGGGCCTGGCCTCCCCCAGAGAATGCGGAAAGCACGGAGGCTTCTCAGAATGAGCTCCCGTACCGGCCAAACCAGGCTTTCCCAACAACCTTCTCCCCTCGGCCCAGCCCTCGCCCTGCCCTTCGCCCCAGTTTCTTAGATGGGCGGGCCACTGTGAAACAGAAACCTCTGCACGCCCCGCATTCCTACACTCGGGACGGACTTGGAAAACATGGTTTTATTATTTGCTCTTATTGCAGGTTTCAAGGCCTCACCTGTTCTGAGCCTCTAGGTTTTGGCCCCAAGTCTCCTAACGCAATAGAAACTTTGAGACGTGAAATCTCAATGGCACTGGTTTCGCCGGTGCCATTTCACGTTCTGAAGGCTCTGAAACGTCCCTGGCCAAGAGCTGGGACGACCTTGACTTGGGGTTCGCCGGCCCTGGAAGAAGCTAACGCCGTCTGCACCCCTGGCCGGCTGCCCTTGCTGGGCTGAAGTGAGCTGAGCTGTCACCTGCCTGATGAGTACAGGCCCGAGCCAGCTGCTGGTGACTGGGGGCCCCGGGGGACAGGGCAGCACACATATCTGGCACCTTGGCCAAGGCGGGGACAGCTGCTCAGAGGCCTTCTGGGGTCAGGAACTTACATGGACCCTCAGGGCCTGCACATGTGGTCAACGGAGACCCTGGAGTCTACGGTGCACTGGGCAAGCGCAGGTCTTTGTGGACCCCGCAGGGTGGAGGTAGGAGGGACCCAGAGACAAGGCCAGCACTTTCCGCCAGGCAGGGGTGAGGGCGCCTCCCAGCCGGGCTCAGTGCCTGACTCACCGGCCCACCCACCTCCTCCTGCATTTGCTTCCATTAAGGTATCAGGAAAAAGAAACTGCACAGCCTGCTGAGCGCCTCGAGGCCCGGTCCAGCCTGGCACTGGGGGCGCCTCGAGGCCGGTCCAGCCTGGCACTGCTGAGCACCTTGAGGCCGGTCCAGCCTGGCACTGGGGGGGCACCTCTGCCATCCCAGCAACCCTCCAGAATGGGAGCTTCTGGCCAAATCCCCTTCCTGCTGATGTGTACAGACTCACACTGCAGCCCCCACCACGGGGGCCTCCTGACCCCCAAGCTGGAAGCCGCCCGGTGCGCTCTCCTATGGGGGCCCCGGGGTGTGGCCCAGCCTTGACACTTAGTTCACCTATGTGGACCCCCATCCCACTCGCCGGCTGGGGGTCTGCAGACCATGCTGGGCCTGATGCAGGCACGTGCTGGACAGAGGCCAGCAGCACAGACCACCACTCACGTCGGGAAGCAACAAGGAGGGAGCACTGGGGGATCTCAAATTTCAGGCAGCACTTTTATCCTCCACAGGTGAGACTGCACGCCAGCACCTGCCCCGTACCACAGGGCCAGAGGTCCCAGCCCAGGGCGCCTCATGTGAGTGGAGGTGGCCTCGGCTGAGAGAGAGCTGGTCAACGACAGAAGCGTGGTGACCCCAGTCCACCCGAGGGTCCCCTCACTGAGCAGCACCCTCCGGCTGGGCAGCCATGGCAGCTGGGGCTGGGCCAGGCGGTCCTGCAAAGGCAGGAGGCAGGAGGTGCCGGAAGTCCATCCTCACAGTCAGCAGCACAGTCGGGGGTGTGTGTGGGGCGGGGGGTGTGTGTGTGGCTCCCACCCTGGGGCGGGGCGGGGGTGTGTGTGTGTGGGGCGGGGGTGTGTGTGTGTGGGGCGGGGGGTGTGTGTGTGTGGGGCGGGGGTGTGTGTGTGTGTGGGGCGGGGGGTGTGTGTGTGGGGCGGGGTGTGTGTGTGTGGGGCGGGGGGTGTGTGTGTGGGGCGGGGGGTGTGTGTGTGGGGCGGGGTGTGTGTGGGGGGGGGTGTGTGTGTGTGTGGGGCGGGGGGTGTGTGTGTGGGGCGGGGTGTGTGTGTGTGGGGCGGGGGGTGTGTGTGTGGGGCGGGGTGTGTGTGGGGGGGGGTGTGTGTGTGTGGCTCCCACCCTGGGGCGGGGGGTGGGGGGTGTGTGTGTGGCTCCCACCCTGGGGCAGGGCGGGGGTGTGTGGTTCCCACCCTGGGGCGGGGGGTGGGGGGTGTGTGTGTGGCTCCCACCCTGGGGCAGGGCGGGGGTGTGTGTGGCTCCCACCCTGGGGCAGGGCGGGGGTGTGTGGTTCCCACCCTGGGGCGGGGCGGGGGGGTGTGGCTCCCACCCTGGGGCGGGGCGGGGGTGTGTGGCTCCCACCCTGGGGCGGGGCGGGGGGGTGTGGCTCCCACCCTGGGGCGGGGCGGGGGTGTGTGGCTCCCACCCTGGGGCAGGGGAGCCCACAGGCCCAGCCACATGCGTCCCACCCCGGGGCCTGGGCGCGTGAGGGTATGCAAGCCCTAGCACTTCGCCCTCTGTGAGTCACGGCCCCACGACCTCAGCGGACGGCCGAGGGGGAGGATGGAGACGCTGCCCTCACGTGCCCTGGGTACCCCGCCCTGGCTCACCCGGCTGACGGCAGGGGTGTGGGGCCGGGGACGGTCAGTGCCTGCAGCCTCGCCTGCTAGAAGCCTCTGGAGACGACCCAACGACAGCTGAGCTCGTAAGGAGCACCCTGGAGACCTCCCTGTTCTGATTCTGAGCTTTACAAAGCAGAAGTCACCTTCACGGAGAATGCAGGGTGGACGCCGGTGGACGCCGGGAGACAATCGGGAGACAATTATTAACAGGAGCCAGGCTCATAAAGGCTGCAGAACGCGCTGCTCACGGACACATTGCACCTCGTCTCCAGGGCGGTGGGGAGGGTCGGCAAAGGGTTGGAATCCTGGTCCATCCTCCTCGGAGGGGGAGGGCTGGGGTGTGGACATCTCAGGCAGGTCTCTCAGGAGCTAGCATGAACAGGGTGGGAGGGACCGGCAGGGTGGGGTTGGGGACGCTGCTGCGGGGACTTAGATTGCACGGCAGGTGTTAAGTAGAGAGGCAGGACCGGCTGGTTCCGAGGAGAGGCTGAGAATGACAGACACCGACCGGTCCGGCAGGACTGCCCAGGTAAGGACAGCCAGAGGGACTCACACAGTTCCGACGGGAAACCTCTGTGGCCACGATTACTGGGTCTCCCACACAGGTGGTGACGGGGTAGCGGGGGGACACGCTGCTTTTAGAGGAGCCGGTGACGGGGATAAGGTGCTTTCAGAGGAGCCAAGAACAGGGAGCAGTGGGTAGGGGTGGAGGGTGGGCTCCAGTGGGCTCGAGGACCCAAGGCTGAGCTCCCAAGGCTCCCCTCAAGGCCACCATCATCACCGTCGCGCTGCGGCCGCACTCCAGGCTGCAGTCCATTGCTGGGGTGCCCCGGGGGTGTTGGCCCCATATAGCCCCTGCCCTTCCCCCTGCCTCCCTTTCTCCCTCCCTCTTCCTGGTGAGGAAGCTGGCGGGGGCCACACCCTTCCTCTCCACAAGCCCAGAGATGGTTAAAATGAAAATTACAGTGGCCGGAGAGAAGGCACCAAGCAGGAAGCCAAAGATGGACGAGAGATGGGACGCCTTGGAAAAATCAGCCCCTCTCCTCTACTTCCAGGAAATAATGAGAATTATCTTCCACACTTTTCCACCCATCCCTCCCACCCATCAAGGACTTCTCCAAACTCTGAGGCTCCTGGAGGGGGCTCATCGGCAGGGGCTCTGTGCCCGCCGAGCTGGTCATTCACCTACGGGCTCAGCCAGGGGCAGGATTTTAAAGGGGGGAGGCGTTGAGGCCCCTGAGACGCTGCAGGACTCCGGCGTCCTGGAGAGCCAGGGACGGCACCACGTGCTCATGATCAGCATCAAGGCAGCATCCCCTCCCCTCCCACTGCCTGTGTCCACGATGCTGCTGCCCGGCCCTGGGCACCTGCTCACTGGGGCCTGCATTGGGGGACCTTACACAGAGCCTGCACCCCAAACCCCAAGCACAGATGTGGCCAAGCCAGGAGCATCTGACACACAGCCCTGGGAGAAGCTGAAGAACAGACTGGAATCCTGGGACCTGCCTGGACTGTCTCGGGTCTGTGTACCCCAGAACCAGACAGCCCCCACCCACATTCCCCAAGCCACTGAACGGTGCCCGTTTCCCGGATTCCCTGGCCTGCAAACAGCAGCCCCACACGGCCTCAGCCAGGTCTGCTGGGCACAGGTCTGGGCACGGCCGGAAGCTGCACCTGACCACTCTCTGCCACCCCCATCCTGCGGGGTTTCCTCAGCATCCAAGGAAGGCGTCCGTGTCGCCTGCAGAGGCGGCTGGTGCAGGGCTGAGAGGTCCTGCCCGTAGTCAGCCAAATCCCAAGGTCCTGGGGCCGGGTCCCCTCCCGCCTGGCCCCCAGTGTGTACCCCTGGAGGAGCAGCCTGCCCCCGTGTTCCGGCCAACTCTTGGTCATCGGCGTGTCTCAGTTTACTCAAGGAAGCCGATTATGCAGCATGAACGCACCACGATCACACCGACGAAACCCACCGGAGCGGGGGATTTCCTCCTGGCTGGGCAGGGGACGGGGCTCACACACCCTCTCCTGTCCGGGGTTCCAGCCCACGGAGCCTCTGTCCTCCTGAGTCAGCACAAACTGGAACTTCTGACGCACAGACGAGCTCGTCCACCTCCCGTGGGTCGTGCTGCCAGGCCAAAGGCTCAGGCTCGGCGGGGCTGGCGCTGCCCGGCTCAGCCTCCGTCGGCTCTCGCAGCTACAGCAAGTGCAGGAACGGGAGGCAAGGGAAACCGCGGCGCTGGCCGGAGAGTGCTGGGGAGCCGGCCTGGCCCAGGGGATGGCGTCACTGCTGCCAGACGGCCGGCACCGACATTCCACATTATGTACCCATTCCTGCAGCATTAAAGGCTTAGGGGCCCCCGTCCCCTGATGAAAGGCGAATACCCTGGGGAGAGGAGAGGTATCAGCCTCCTCGGATCCCTCCTGCCCCTCCACCCCATCAGGATAGGAGAGGCCTCTCGTGAGGGCCCTGGAGGTGCTCAGCCCAGGGAGGGGCCTGCATCTGTGCCCGTTCCCGTGAGATGCCAGGCGTGGCTCCCAGCTCCGGGGGCCCCCGGTGAACCTCAGAGTCTGGGCCCCTGTCAGTTCCGAGGATCCCTGCATGTCTGCTTCCTCGGATAAGCAACCCACCACCCACAGGGCACTGGAAATCACCTCAGGCTCGGTTTAAGCAGATGCCGCAGGGTCACCAAGTGTAAACAAGGAAACCCAAGCACCTGCCTCACAGGACACAGCAAAGTTCTGGGACCCCAAGCCAGCCTGACGTGTACTGGGGCCACAGACCTGCGCAGGACCCCACAGGCCCAGGAGGCACACGGAGGGTGAGCGAGGACCCACCGCCGAATGCCTGCTCTGGTCCCTTGGGGCTCAAGTCACTCCTCACAAGAGGCCGCTGCCTCCCTGCAACCCCACAGGACCCCAAGGCAGCTCAGCCCCTACCATCCCATGCCTCTCCCAAACCCACCCACCGCCCCAGCCTACACAGGGCCTGTAGGCCTCGGACCCCACCCCCAGAGGCAGGAGAGACAAAGTCTCTGTTCCCAAAGGTGAGGGCACAGGCTCCGTAAGGGTCGCCCCAGCTGACAACTAGAACCATTGAATTTCCCCTGGAAATGTAGAAATCGGGCCTGTGCCAGTGTGGACGTCCAGGTGTGCGTGGCAGGGACGGACTACACCACAGCCTCTCTAAGAATCTCACCCAGAAGCAGAACAAAGCTCAGGCCACAGAGCATGTGACCCGCAGCCCAACGTCTTCAAGACCAATCACCACTTTAATCAGCAGAAAGAATGTTTGCAAGTTCCTAACATCTGGCCCGGCACCTTCTACCTCCGGTTAGAAAGACTGAACTTGGAGCTTGGATTTCTCCAGGTTTCGCCTCATTGTGAGTTTTTCTCCAGGGCCCCCAGAGCAAGGCTGGTACCCCCTCCCCCAGGTCTCCCACCCACCATAACTGTTGGTGACCAAGATAAAGGCCGCCGTGGTTAAAGTTTTATCCAGCGTGCAACCAACCACAGCACAGCTGAGTTTACATCAGCGTCCAGCCCTGCGGGTGCTGAGGCCCAAGGGGCAGTCTGAGCTCATGGGCCAGCTGGGACTCGGGGCAGTCAGGACTCCAGGCAGACGGTCCTACACTCACTCTGTAAATGACCAGTCTACCTGGGAGAGATTTCAGAGAGAGATGAAAAGTAATCTAGGCCAAGAACATAGAACACAAAAATGTGGATTCCCATTCAGGATAGAAGTCTGTACACCCGAGTCCGAGGCCACACAGACCATGGAGGTCACACGGCCCACAGGTGCCTCCCAGGACCTCATGCCTCCTGGTGTCTACCCACAGAATTTTCTAGAGACCAACACAGCCCTCCACGAAGGACCTCTCCCCCAAGCACAGGCGTCCAGAGACGCCACGTGACACCTCCACTCCCTGCCGGCCACACAGGGAAGCTGTCTGTTTATCGTACCCACAAGACCCCTCTGGGACGGGGGTGGCCCCATGTTCTGGGCGTCACAGCTCAGCACCGCTCAGGGCTGAGCCAGCCTCAGCTCCCACCCAAAAATGGACGTTTCAGGGTCTTTAGCCGACACCACAGACACCCAGCCAATTCCCAGGGCAGTTTGAATGGCAAAAGCACCCGTTTCAAAGGTGCTACACGATCCACAAGCATGGGGGCGCGTCCGACCCAGCACTGGCCCGGCCGCCACAGGGGGATGCTCACCATGCTCCCCAGACACACCTCCAGGGAGAGAGGCCCCGCTCGGCCAAGGCCATGCCGCCCGAAACACTAACCCAGATGGGCCAGTCTTTTCAAAGGTGGTTTTAGTTGGAAAGGCTGCATTTCCAAGATGGTTTAGTTTAGACATCCCACACCCCCCTACACCATGTCACACCCCCTAGGAGGGCCCCTCTGCGGGCGCCAGTGTCCCCCAACCCCAGCCACCTGGGGGGCTCTTCAGGCAAAACAGTCATGTCCGAAGCACAGACACAGAAGGGTTTTCACCAAGGCTGAGCAGACGAGGGGACAGGAAGAAATCAGAGACACCTGCCACATCACCAGCCCCGTGATGACGAGGCCCGCCGCCCCCGCCCCAGGCAGGACACTCACCAGACAGCTCGTGCAGGTCCGACGCCCTGTGCCTCCTAACCAGCTCGTACTGGAAGCCTGTGGTCCTCCGGCCGATATCCTGCTGCGGCGTGGCCTCCACGAACAGGCCGCCCTGCTCCAGGCCAAAACACTGCACCCGGCCGGGCCTGCCGTCCCCGTCCGGTACCAGCAGTCTCAGTTCTCCAGTTTTTTCCAAATAAATATTGGCCCCCGAGGAGTCCGTGAAGGACCTGATGCACACGGTCAGGTGCCGGGCAGGCGAGAAGGTGTTGGGCCGCAGGTTAACGATGAGAGCACCTGTTGGGTACATCCACTCCACGGCACCCGCCGCACAGCGCAGATACACCTGCTCCACCTCCTTCCTGTGTGCCTCGTGCGTCAGCCCGCTGCAGAGGAGAGACACTGTCAGCCAGGCCCGGAGCTCCCGTCACACACCCCACCCGCACCCACAGAGAGTCAGTGAGGACGATACCCGCTCCAAATGATGGCGGCTCCTGGACCCACCCGCTGCCGGCCACAGGTGCCACACGGACCCCTGCCCGTGAGGCAGGCCGGCGCCATCTCCGCCCTTCGGCACAAGGGCCCCACCCAGTTCCTTCCAGTGCACCTGCACCAAGAGCCATGGTGGGGCGGGGCCGAGCTCCCGGGAGTGCAGGCGGTGCTTGTCCCCAGGCCCTCCAGACACCCTCCAACACTCAAGAGTCTGCGCCTCTGCTGCCGTAGCGTCAAACACCAATCTCTGCGATGTCCCTGAATCAGGGTGGCTGGAGGTGCTGGGGCAGTGGGATGGAGCCCCAGGGAAGGGATGGATTCCTCCAGAATATCACGGAGTATCACAGGAATGCCAGCAGGCCCTGTGTACCAACCCTGGTTCCAGATGACCACGAGGGCTGGGACGCTAGAGGTAAAGCGAAGGTGGGGCCCCACCACGTGTGAAGGAGGAGCCCTGGGATGCAACCTGCCCAGAGAGCAGCTTTTAAGTTAATCCAGAGTGTTGGCAGTTTGGGGGGAAGGAGGTTGTAGATGAGTTTTGTCTTTTAGCACCTCATTAAGCATAGATGTTTGTACATTTCTCAAAGTAATGACTTGACCGTTTTCTGCAAGCCTGAAGACCCTGCACTGCCGACGGTATTTGTAAATATAAGCTATCATTACAGCAAGACTCACCACAAAAGCGAGGCGAACTTCCTCCACAGGGTGAGTAGTGTGTGAGTAGCAAGCTAAGTTCACCCTCATACATGCTAAACAGAAAAAAATGAAGCGTGCTACACTCTTGGAGAGGCAGGTCCTGAGTAGAAACAGTTATATTTTCAAGAAACTGAAACATCAAAACCCTCACGCTTCTCAACACTTTAACGTAAATGCCAGCTCGTGGCTAACAGCCACGTCATAACCAAGTGGGCCTGGAACTAACCCGGTGACTTCAACTAAGTGTTTTACTACGCAGATCTCAGACAGGTTCACCCACATTCTTAGGATTTTTATGTGAAATAAGCAATGCTGTTTCCAGAGCCCTGGCCTGAGCGAGTCACCAGAAACCCTTTCTGCAGCAGAGAAAATGCATCACATATGGTTTGCATTTACCGCTGGTGACTCACACTCTGGGCCCCCAAACCTCACTCTTCATAGGCTGCAGGCCACATCAGAGGGTGGTGTCGAGGGTGCACCCCTCCTCACCCTCTCCCCACCCCGACAAGGCCCCAGGTCACGAGTGGCCAGGCCTAGCCGGCTGCCAGGATCACACACCCAGAACAGACTCACAAATTACAGCCCATAAAGCTCACACAAGCTCATCTAACACGTGTGTGGGCAAGGGCACGATGATCGTGCTGTGTGGAAACTGGACTCGGTGAGTGGCTGACACACTCAGCTACAGTCAGCTCTCTTCTTATGCAGCCTCATCGTCACGTCTCTCCCTCCCGTCTCTGGCATCGAGGCCACTGTCCTCCTGCCCGTGCTCAGGCACCGAGCCTCGACCCTCTCTCCACATACACCGTCCTGACACGTTGCCTCCCTCTCGGGGAGTCCTGAAGGTCGAGGGAGCGGGCTCTGGTCACCTCTGACAGCACTGCCTTCATCTGAGCAGGCGAGGGGAACAGCCACAACTCAGCTGGGGACAGGCGGCCAACCCACCTCTGCCCAGGAGGAGGCCGACTTGAGCCTGGGGGCCGTCCTGGCCTAGCACATGCTACCCGCATCTGGTGGGCACGCCTGGCTCCACCCACTCAGAAGACACTGGGCAAAAAGAGGAAGAGGACAAAATGAAGGTGGACACAGAAGAAAGAAGACACCCGGCTACCCCGGCCTTCACCTGACGTCTTCTCAGCGCACTCAGACGGGTCTGCACCCAGCGCAGGGCCTGCTCCCCTCTCCTCTCACATTCTCCCGAAACATCCAGACCAACGGGACTCCAACCAGACCCGCTGACGTAGGGATTTTCACATTAAAATCAGTAGCACATGATGCGCAAGACCCGTGTAGACAAAAAAAGTTAAACGATGCATCCTTCAGCCTGGGACCCAGCAGACCTCGGCACGAAGTCCGAGACTCATGGTCTGTGCTGGTTCCTACCAGAAAATCGAGTGCCTCAAATCTCTCACCTCCAAATATCCAGCACCTCAGCAAACCTGAAAACAGAGTCTGTTTATGCAAAATTGCTGGCATTGCAAAAATGTGACCTATCTTTAATGGTCATGGATGAGGGCATTTTGTGATTTTCACGTGAGATGCAGGTGACACAGTTCTGCTGTGATAAAACTGAAGCGTGCAGACAAAACCGTGGTTCGTTCAACTTTAGGAAACTGACAAGGCTGATCTGATGTTGGATCAACAGACTGAACAGATACACTTTTAAAAGTCAGCAAGGGTTACCACCCAGGTGGACATGCTTGTGGGGCACCTTCATGGAAAGGAGGGCAAATCCCAAGTGGATAAAGGGACTCACTGAAGGGGGGCGCAGGTGCACTGGAGGGTTGTTGAGGCACCAGCCCACACACCACAACTCTGTGTCACCAGGACAAAATGCCCGGCTCCTGTATGAAAGTCAGGAAGGGCTTCGAACCCACTGGCAGGTTAACTTTCCTTTCCCCACCTTGCAGGAGAGACGAACCAGGTGTGACCGCACCTGCGATGCCCGGGCTGACAGCAAGTGGGAAAGTTCATGGTCCACATTTATGAGCACTGGCTGATAAAGACGGGGCGCTGGTCCCGCCTCCCCCCACGGAAGGGAGGTTTCATCATCTCCTACTTAACTGCTTAGAAGAAACACCCAGCAACAGAGGCCGTCGATGCAGTGGCCAGTGTCATGAGGGGCAACTTTCCAGCTATCGGGGGATGAGAATCCACCCAGCACACCAGCGCTCGCTCCACCCTGTGCTTCGTCAGGACAGCTGGTAAAAAGTCACAAACACCGGAGGGTAGCAGGCAGGCCAGCGCACTCCGGTTTCCACAGCGAGTCTCTGTCACTGATTCGTGACGTGTGTGGATCAACGGGGCAGTGACCACAACAAAAGGAAGTCTCACTTACGCCCCAGAAACACAGCCGGGCCCCGTGTCCCCTCCAGATCACACCCGCAGCTCCAGCAGCCCCCACAGCTGCCCTCTGCCAGGCTCTGCAGGTGTGTGTGTGTTGGGGGGGGTCCCCTGTGTGTGTGTGGGGGGGGGTCCCCTCTGGGGAGTCTGAGGCCAGGACTGGCAACGATGGCGAAGAGGGCCTCCAGGTAGACAGGAGGGTGCGCAGGTCCTGGAGGGCAAAGCACTCCTGTCCCGCTGCTGTCACCTGCCTGGAGGAGCCGCCCGCCCCTGGAGGTGGAGGGGTGGCCTCCCCGCCACCCTCGGCTGCCTACCGCGCCCTCCCTTCGGGCTCCGGGAGGCGCCCCCTCCTACCGGGCACACAGTCCCCTGACACCCTGAAAAGGGCGCCGGCCCCTTCTCGACACACTCGGCCTGGGTGGCGGGGGCGGCGTTTCTGGCTTCGGTCTGCTGGAGCGGAACGCCCCGGGCCTCGGTTCGGGGATGCACCGACCCGCCGGGCAGAGGCAGCGAGCCGGGGCTGAATCACTCCGCGGGGGCAGGGGCGGCCCCAGAAGAGCCGTCGGCCTCGGAGGCTCCCGGCGCCGGCGTTCCCGGCCGACCCCCCCCAGACCTCCATCCGCCCGCGGCCCCGCTCGGCCGAGAAGGGAGGCGGCCGCTCCCGGGACAGCCGGGCACCGCCCACGGCCCTCGGGGCGACTCTGCCCCCCAGCGCCACGCCCCTTCCCCCGGGGAGGCTCCGCCGGGGGCGCTGGGGGGCGACTGTGGCTTCGCGGGGACCCGGAACGGAGGCTGCGGCTGCGGGGAGACCTGCGCCCGCCCCGCGGACACCACCCGCCCCGCACCGGCTCTGCCCCGACCTTCTCGGAAAACAGCTTCGCTCGACATCACCGCGTGACTCGGCCCGCGGCGGGGGCGGGGGCGGGGGCGGGGGCTGCGCCGAGGGGAAGCGGGACCCAGGCCCGGGCCAGCCCGGCCACGGCTCTCCGGGAGGCGCGCGTCACTCGGGTCCCCGCGCATCTGCGAACCCCGGAACTGGCGACTGCGAGGCTCGCGCAGGGCGGGTTCGGCCGCGGTGCCCTCGGCGCCCTGGGCTTCGCGTGGGAGCGGCGGCGGCTCCCGAGGGGCAGTCGCGGTCGGCGCCGCTCTCGGCGGCCACGCTTGAGTCAAAAAAAAAAAAAAAAAAAAAAGTCCTCGGCCGCCACCGCGGGTGGGGGGGGGGGGGTCGCCCAGCGCAGCGCGCGCCGCGGCCAAGGGCGGCCTGACCTTCACGGGGCAGGGGCGGGGGGCCCGGCCGGAGCCACACTCGGCCCGGCTCACAGGTGCCCGCCCGCGGCTCCCCGAGACGGAAGTGGCCCCCGCTGCGGTCCGCGCCCGATCCCCGAAACCGCCGCTCCCTCCCGCGGCCGTCCCTTCCCGCTCTGGCCCGGGGCGGCCTCGGGGCGCGCAACTCCCGGAGCCTGCCAGGAAGGGCCCGAGGACCGACCCCCGCCTGCCCCCGGGATGGGGTCGCGGGACCGGCGGCCCCCGAGGCTCGGACACGCGCGGAGCCGGGACCCACCCGGCCGCGCTGCAGGCGCGCCTCCCCCGGGCGTCCTCCGGGCCGGGAACCGGGACGCCGCGGGCTCTTTTGTTCTAGAACCGGGGGCGGGGGACAGCGGGCACCGGACTGGGCCTGGAGAGCGGCCCCCGGAGCCCCTGCCCCGCGCCCGCCCCCGGCCGCGCCCCCGCACGCTCGGCCGGCCCGGGACGGGAGGGGACGCGAGGGGAGGGGGCCGGGCCGGGGTCGCGCCGCGCACACTCACCTCCCCTTCCAGCTGCACCGGTCGCTGGAGTACTGCGCGCCCGCGCCGCCCAGCAGCCCGGCCAGGAGCAGGAGCAGCAGCGGGAGCGGCGGCGGGGGCGGGCCCGGGGCGGGGGGTCGCGGCCACGGCTGCCCCGCGCGCCCCCAGGCCGCCCGCGCCGCGCCCCGCATGCTCTGGCGCCGGCTCCGCCGCCCGGCCCCGCGTCCGCGACCCCCGGAGCAGACCCCGGAGCCGGCGAGCCGGGCGGGGGCGGGGCGGCTTCGAGTCCGGGTGGTCACGTCGCGCGCCCCCCGCGTCCTCCGCGCGGCCGCCCGCCCATCCCGGCCCGCTGGAGCCGCGCGCAGAGCTCCGCGCCCGCCGCCGCCGCCGAGCCTCTGAAGTTGGCGAGTCCGAGTCCGCCCGGCCGGGCTCAGCTGGGGGGTGGGGCCCACCCGCCGCCCCGCCCCGCCCCCGACCCCGCCCCCGACCCCGCCCCGACCCCGCCCCGCGCCGGAAACTCCTCCCGGGGCGCCCGGCCGGACGCGCAGACACCGAGTCAGCAGCGAATCGGGGGCGCGGGCGCCGGGGCGGGGGGCGCTGCAGGAGGAGGGGGCCGCGCCGGGCGGCGAGCGGGGTCCGGAGGGAAGAGCCCGGCCTGGAAAGCGGAGTCCGGGGCCGGAGGGGTTGCAAGGCGAGGGCGGGGCGGAAACCCGAGACCCCCAAGTAGTGGCCGACGCGAGCCGCGGTCGCCCCCCGCAGACCCCCGCGAGGCGGTGCCGGGGCCGCATCCTGCGCCCCATCCTGCGCCCCATCCTGCGGGCAGCCCCGGCGCGGAGCGGTAAAGGAGGCTCCCGGCCCCGCCGGTTCTGGGTCCCCCGCGCCTCGCCAGCGGGCGGTGATCAGGGGCGATCCGGGCGCCCCGCGTTCCGCAGAGTTGGTGCCTCGGGAGTTCCCGGCTCCCTCCTGACCGGGGGGGAGGCCCGGCGGTGAGCCCGGCTTCCCTCCCTCCTCCCGGAGGACGTGCAGCCGCCGCGCCGGGGCCTCTGCCGAGCGCTGCCCACTCCTCGCTCCGGATACGCGGGGCCGGGTGGTTCTTGGGGTGGGGACGTCCTGCGCATGGTGGGATGTTGGCAGCACCCTGGCCCCCGCACTCTGGGTATCAGTAGCAACCCCCGCCCCAGCTTTGACAACCTAAACTCTCTGCAGATTTGGCCAAATCCCGCCCCCACCCCGTGCCCGCGGGGCAGAATCACCTGCGGAGCGTCCTGCTCGAGTGTGTTCCTCGGAGTCGGCGCCTTCCCCAGGTGGTCACCGCGGCCACCACGTGCCTGACCCAGTGGGGGGGACAGCGGAGACCCCCGCCCGGACTGGGGAGGCCCTAGAGACTCAGGCCAGAGAAGGGGAGCCAGAGGGTGCCGAGGGCCCCCCAGGCAGGAGAGGGCGGAGCTGGCCCGCCCGGCGGTCCCCGCTGCGATGGCAAAGCTGGCTTCTGTGTGCTGCGGGTCAGTGGCCCTGCCCGAGACGCCTGGTGTCAGTTCCAGAGCCGAGTGCAGCATCCAGCGGTGGGGAAGCTTGGCCTTGTCCCCTTTTCCAGCCAAGATACCTTCCAGGAGGACTTGCGAACGACCTGTGCAAGTCTGAATAACTGGGTTGTGACTACCAGAGGAGGCGGGGAGAGGGCTTTGAAAATTGTGAGTCTGCAGGGACGGAAGTCACCGGCAAAGGCAGGTGGAGCCCAGCCCCCAGCCCAGGAAAGCTGGGACAAGGGTGAGGGTCTGAAGAACTGGAAGGCGATGACAGTGACCACTGAAGGTAGTTTCATTGTAAGGATCTGTTCAGAGCACCCACCCCATCGAAAGCCTGGAGCCAGGACCTTGCCCAGCACATCAAGTGACATCACCCTGAGGCTCAAGGTCTGGTGGAGGTGCATTTCGGAGCTTGGAGACTGCCCCACCCACCCCCGTCTGCTCTAGGAGTGCACCTCCCCCCACCCCCATCACTGCAGGTACCAGGGTGCCCAGTGGAAAGGGACCTGCTGTGGAAAGGGACCTGCTGTGGAAAGGGACCTGCGGCTTCACACCTGTGCGCAGCAACTGCTTTCCATGCCCACCAAGCATAAGATAGCAGCCCCCCCAGGCCCGGTCCACCCTTGAAGGGCCACATGGCCTATCAGGGTCCAGATCATCACACCACGGAAGAGGCAGGGCAGTGCTGGGATCTCTTGAGTTATAGATGCGGACATGGGGAACTCAGGACCTGCCGTGACCTGCTCAGGGTCTCAGAGCCCCTGGTGGCTGCTAGACCGAAGGGGAGAGGCCACCTCTGGTCAGCAGGCAGCTGGTTCCAGCCTAGGCTGGGGCAGAGATCTGCCACCTGGCAGGATGCCCAGCCTCCTGTGCCCAGCGGGCTGTCCTAAGACTGGGATCGTACGATGGTGAGTATGGGACCCACGTGTACTTTTCAAAACCCGTAGAAAATACAGCACAAGAGTGAATCCTGATGGAGGCTTGAGACATTTGTAATAATAACGGATCAATATTGGTTCTTTGACTGTCACACGCCTACACCCTAATGAGAGAAGGTAATCATAAGAGAAACTGGGTCAGGGAGAGGGGGTGTGGGGGACCTCTACCATCTGCTTGGTGTTTCTGTAAACCTAAAACATTAAGTCTGCTAATTAAAACAAAACAAAACTAGAGTAAGAATGCTTGCTGGCCAGTATTCTCGGAAGAAGCTAATCTGTCTTGGGAAAGGAGCCTGGCCCTTTCCACCCTGGGGCTGTGGTTCCCCAAGCTGTTCCCTTGAGGAGGTTCATGCCCCAGAGACATTGGGTGCTCCTGGGCACCTCTGCTGACCCCTGTCCTGGCCCAGCGAGGCCACCTACAGGTGAGACGTCCCCTGTAGACGGGGTTCCTGGTGTCAGGAGGTATCAGGCTCCTAGAGGATGCAGGCTGAGGTGGTCAAGGCTGTCTGGGGGTGTTCCCAGCCACTGGTACACTGCCCCTTGTACCACCAGACCCCGAGAGGCCGATTATGAACCAAAAGGATCCCAGCTGGTCATGGTGTGTGGCCCTCCCCCTGGTCCTCTGGGAGGGTCTGCAAGGAAAGGGCCTTGGGTGTGTTTGTCCCTGGATGTCTGGGAAGGGACTGCTTCCCAGTGAGCATGTCACGGGGTTAGACCCAGGAAGGGGCCACAGCATCATCCCACCCACCCACTCGTGGGAAGGAGCTGGTCTTCGCAGCTTTGCGTGAAGCTCTGATACTTCCTACCTGAGTCGGAACGTTGAGGCTGAGCCGTGGAATCGGAGAGCTCCAGAACCCACCAGGATCACGCCTGCCCATTCCCTCTACCGGCGGGCCCTGCAGTGATGCTTCTGCATCCTGGGAGATGGCAGCTAAGGGACCTGGGCCAGGGGGGCCTGTGGCCCAACCGTAGGTCTACATCAACCCTCTCTCTTTCCTCATCTATCCATTCCCTCGAGAAACAGCTCTCAGAAGCCTCCTGGGCAGACGTCCGTGAAAAAAATTCTGGGTGCACCCTGGACAGTCCTTCTGTGCCTCACCAGGGTCTGAGGCCTCAGAAAGCAGGACGTGGCCTCCCATGTCCGAGGACCACGACCCACTGTTAGGATCGAGTGACCTCGGCAGGGTCACCTCTGTGTATTTGACCCGGGAGTTTTTATCGCGTGCATTGCAGGGACCCAGCACCTGGGAATTTGCTGGGGTGGAGGGCTGTGGGACTGGACCCCTTTCTCGGCCTTTCCTATGCCGGGTGCCTACAGGCCCTGTGGGGTGGTGGACGGACCTGGCTCGGACGTCAGCCCCCAGCTCTGGGTCACAGACATGGTGGGGTTGGAGTCTGTTTCTGAGCCTCAGTTACCTGCAAAGTGGATCTGTTCTTGATTCCCAGGGCGTCGTAGGGTTTACGATGTCAGGATTCAACGCCACGTCCCCAGGTGGGGGCTGATTCTCACCTGTTCAAGGCACCACCGGGCTGTCATCAGGCCTTGGGGCCCTCGTGGGGCTGGGTGGGGGGAACCCCTCCCGCCGTGCTCCCCACAGCTGCGAGTTCTCTGAGCCACTGGCACAACCCGGTGGACTTTACTGCTTTTATTTTTGGCCCAGTCTTGAGGTTTTCAAATGTGTGTTGACGGCCAATGTGCTGCCCAAGATGACCAGTCACCTGAATCCACTCACTAAAGAAACAGCTCCTCCCAGAGTAGCTGGATTCCTCCAGAAAAACATCACACGGTTTCCCCAAGCGCGTCCATGAAATTTTCTCTTTCAGCATTTGAAAAATACTGAAGAACGTCGCAGTCTGTCGTTCACGTGAGCACAGTTCATCCCACGGCCCCGCCCAACCACCACCTCCCAAGTCATTTGCCACCCGTTTCCCTCCCAGGCCATTTTCGCCAACCTTCTCGTAATTATCGTAATTGTGGTTGAATGATACATGGAGAGCCTGTGCTTGTAACTCAACTTCAATGAGCAACGTGTAATTACTACACGAAACAGCCACGGATGCCAGCCAGCCTCCACCTGATGACCTTCAGTGTGTCATTCTTCCCTAACCCCCTCCTTAACCTAATTTGCTGCCATGTGCTGCTCTCTGTGCGTCAGAGAAAAGTGGGAGTAGGGAGTTTCCTTGAGTCAGATACAAGTCCAGGCCGATGCTGGCCGGCTATGTGACCTTGGGTGGTGCTTGCCCCCAGGTTGGCCAGGTGGAGAGAGGCCACCAGCCGCCAGCTCGGCAGTGAGAGACAGTTCTGTGTGGCACGCTGGCCCCACACCGTCCTAGCAGTTGTTTGTAGCAGCTGTTCATGGCAGCATCTCACCCTCCGCCCGGCCATGAACCGACCATGGCCCCAGGGCTGGTGAGCTGTAGTGACTCTGCCATCTCGGGCACTCAGACCCCACAGGGAAGGAGGGTCCTCGGCCTCCGCGGGGTGGTGTCAGGAGGGGCCATCTACAGTACACGGTGGATTTGTACACAGAGGTGGACGTCTGCGTGGACCCTGACCACGGCCGGTCAGATGTGCTCAGGGGCAGGACCGTGAGCCCAGTGATGACGTGCTAAGGTCCGGCCGGCCGGCCACACACAGCAGGTCTGCGGTCACCCAGGACGTCAGCCGAGGGCCTCAGCCCACTCGTTCTGGAGGACGCTCACGGCAGAAACGCCTCGGAAGGAGCCGGTATCCCCACGGCCTGCGGGGAGAGGGAGTGTCCCATATGCCAACTACCGAAGGCCTGAAACTCACAAACGTTGAAGGCCAGTGTGCAGGGCACCCACGCATCCCCCGGCTGCGGCCGAGGGCTGTTCCTCTGTTTTGGCATTTCCCCTGAGCCACGTGGGAGCTGCAGAGGTTGTGACCCTTTGGCCCTAATCATGGGAGCAGGAGTCACCCCTCAACGGGGACAACGTATGGTGCCATCCAGCGCCGTCGGCACACCCAGCTTGCCGTGTGGAGACGGTGCCCCTCCATAGAGTAAATGCACGCCGCCTTGTTCCCCGTGGGCCCCACACTTGACTGCTCATCACCGGGCTGGGCCCCCTCTGACAGGCTGGGCAGGGCACAGGGTGGTCCCTCCCAGGGTTCACTGGTTGGCATCAGAGACCAGAGCCCCGCTCCGTGGCCCTCCTGGCAGCCCGCCCCACTGGCATCTGAATTCTGGAAGGCACCTCTCCCAGGGCCACCTTGGCCACCCTCTAGAATAAACAGAAAGAGGGGGCTCTGCTGCCTGGGGCTCCTCGTGGGCTCAGATCGGTCGGCGTGTCTCACTGAACAGTTTGGGCTCCTTTTTTCTTGCAAGTTTATAATCGAAACGAAGAGCTTTTTTTCTCTGCTTCTGTGGCCTTTGGTTTCATGCTACAGGAAGGCATCTCCCAGACCCCAGTGGGGCCTGCCGACAGCGGAGGCACGTGGGGGTGTGCGAGGGGCTGTGCCCTGTTCTTGCTGTGCCCCTCTGCCCCTGGCACCACCCCGAAGGAGGCAAGGCCTTGTCAACATCTGTTAAGCCGGGAACCGGGGACCGCCCAGGGTCAGATGGGCTGGAGTAGCCACACTGCAGGAAGCTGAGGGCAGACAGAGCTCTCTCCTCCCATACCCCACTGGGCTGGGTGTCCCGGGGAGGGTGGACGTCCAGATGCTGGGGCACCTAACCTGGACCGGGCTGGGCAGCTGCCCAGCGCGTGGGGAAGGGCGGGACCGTGGTCGGCGCAGTCACCACCAGGACCTGCCCCGCCGGGCGGGGTTCTGCCTCCTCCTCCAGTCCACAGGGCGAGTCTCCACGGACAGCCCCAGGGACAGGCCCTCCCCACATCGACGCTGCGCCTGGATGACTCAGCCCAGGCAGGCGGGGGTGGCGGTAGACACCCTCACCAGGAGCCTGTCCAGTGGGGCCCTCCCATGCAGGTAATTAGCCCGGCTGTCCTGCCCCTGAAAAGAGGCCGGGTAGCCCAGAGCTGCCCCCAGCTGGAGGGGCTGAGAGCTCTGGCTGTGGAGCGTGCGTGGGATGCGGGGGCGCTGGAGGCACAGGGCAGCTGTCTCACATGTCCGTCCCTTTCTGCCCACGCTGAGATAGTGAAGAAGGCCTTGACAGCCATTTGGACAGACGGTCCCACCCAGAACGAGGAGAAGCAGGCGACACCCAGCTCAGCGGACAGTGGGCAGGCACACTGGCAGGCAGGGTCAGGGGATCTGTCTCCCGAGTCACCTGTGTGCCAAGACACCCCACTGCGTCCCCAGGCTCCAGGGTTTGGGGAAGGGTGTCGGTGGGGCTGGGCGTGCAGGGAGCGTCCGGGGGCCAGGTCACGTGGACTTGGCCGATCTTGGAGAGAGAACTGGACCCCCGCAGTGTCGAGTAGATAGGGGCCCAGCGGGGTGGGGCCCGAGCAAGTGAAGGCGGGGGTGGGGCAGGGCCTGGGTGTGCCTCCCCAAATCCAGCCAAGCTGGAGTGCACAGGGTCACCCAGGGATGCTGGCTTCACGCTCTTCCTCCAGCCATGCCTGCCTGGACTCGGCGGAGGAAACACTCCCTCCAGAAGCCCCTCCAGGCAGGCAGGAGCGAGGCCAGCTGGTGGGCTTTCTCCTCGGGAGTGGAGGGGTCCCTCCCGTCCACACGGCAGGTGCTGAGCACCCTACCCCAACCCTGCCTGCTGCAACGTGCGGGCCCAGCCTTGGCGCCAGCTGTCCCAACAGGGACCTGAGGACCCATGTGCCTTCTCCTGGAGAGGTGGCCAGGCCTGTGCCGGGGCTCCACTCTACTCCCAGTGGTGCCAGGAGGTCCCTGCAGCCCCAATGCCAGAGCTGTGCCTCCGCTGAAGCTTGCGGAAGTGAGACGGCCCAGAGGGACCCGCTGTCCAGACCCAGGATGGTGGACTGTGCGTCCTGGGCCTCAGTTCAGGCTCATGAAAGATGACTGAGCCCCCTCCGCCCCCGCCCCACACCCTCCAGCCCCCACACCCCACCATGCCCCGCACCGCACCAGCTCCCCGCATAGATGCTCCTCCTTGTCAGCCTGGGCCAGAGCCAGACAGGACCCACAGAGGCAGGGACCCCTCCCCAAATCCTAGCTGGCAGTTTCAGTCTTTAAGCACTGTCTGGGGGGTTGTCAGTGTTGGTGGGGTGCACTCCTGTAGGGCTGCCTGGAAGAGGTGACCTACATGCGTGCACAACTGTTCAAGCAAGGGTGAGGAAAAGGAGCAGCTGGCACTGTGCACTGTGTGGGGGTGCAAGGAGACCCAACCCAGCAGGAGTCAGGGCAGGAGGCTGGGGGCAGCCTGACCCCACGTGGAAGAGCTTGGGGTCATGAGGCTGCTGTCACCAGGCTCACAAGGGACTCCAGTGAGAGAGTAAAGCGATGAGGTCACGTGAACTGAAGAAACAAAACCACAGATCTTTATATGCAGTGTGGCAACAGTGACAGGAGCCAGGGGAAGTCTCCCCTCGACTCCACGGTGGAATTTTAATCGTCCCCAATTTTTCTACAATGACTAGGTATTGCTATTATGATGAGAAAACAAATTATTTAAAAAGGAAAAAAAAGAAAAAAGGAAGGAGGAAGGGAGGGAGGAAAGATGGAGGGAAGAAGAGAGGGAAGGAGACAGAGAGAGAGATTGTTATGAATGATGGGGGGGGACACAGTTTACCCAGAAAACAACTGCAGCCTCATGGGGCCTCTCAGGGGGCCAGGCCCAGGGCGTGGCTGATAGGGAGGTGGGCCGAGGGGCACTGGGAGCCCATGCTGGGCTTAGTGAGGTGGTGCAGGTTGGCTCGAGGAGTGCCCACTGCTAAACTGCGTGACTTGGTGGCGATCAACCCTCCAGCTCCCCATCTGAGAGCGACTTCATGGTGCCAACCCCACAGAGTCGTGGGCAGGTTCATGGCCCAGCTCAGTGGGAGGGAAGCTCCAGCTTCCTATGTACTTTGGAGCATGGGCCTCCCATTCCGGCCTCCCCACTCCCTGCCTCGACCTCAGCAGCCCTGTCCCCGTCCCCTCACAGCAGTGGCTGCAGCCACCAGGATCTGCCCCTTCCTCACCACCCTCTGGCTCTGTTCTACCCTCCGGAGCATGAAGGGCCGTGGGGCGCCTGGTGTCTGCGTCCTGTCCAGAACATGTTGGGGGACAGCACCTTCCCCCCCAGCCCTCCTGACTCTGAGAAGCCTCCTGCCTGCCAGCCTTTTGCGTGTCACAGAGAAAACAAGGTGAAGAAGATGATTATTTGAGTCTAGAGAGCTAATTAAAATGTTTAAAAACATACTTTTTAAGTACAAAAGTGAATATGCTTATTGACAAAGTCTGTTGTTCGGGGTTTCTGAGAGAAAAAAGAAAAGAGGGATTTCCCCTTTGACTTCCTGGCCCTGTCCAAGGGCTGGTACAGGCTCCCTGAGACTACCTGGGCGTCGTGTGTGCACGTGTGTATGTGCATGCGTGCTCGAGTGTGCATTGTGTGTGTGCGCTCATGTGTATGTGTGCATGCCTGTGTGCACGTGTGCGTGTGCTCGAGTGTGCATTGTGAGCGTGTGCGTGCTCATGTGTATGTGTGCATGCCTGTGTGCACGTGTGTGCGCTCGAGTGTGCATTGTGTGTGCGTGCTCATGTGTATGTGTGCATGCCTCTGAGCATGTGTGCATGTGTGTAGAGCCCTGCATGGGATTTGGCCCACAGTGGTTCCATTTTGACTCTAATTTCCAGCAAAAACTCTGCAGAGCTCTGGTCAGCAGCCGCGACTCTGGCGCCAGTGCCTGTGGGGCAGGATCTGGATTTCAAACTCAATTTCAAAAAACAAACCATAGCTGAGTCCACTACAAGGCAACAGGAAAATAATGAGTGGCAGAGTGGGGGCTGGGGGGCATGACTTTATTTTTCGTGGTCCAGTGGTCGCCTGGGCGATGCCGGCCTTGGAGGGCGCGGAGGAGAAAGGCCTAAGAGTGTGTTGATGTCAACAGGAAGCGCTTTTGTGGGCGTCTTTGGGCATCGTCTGTTCTCACTGCTTTCAAGTCCAGTGAGGGGCAGGCAGAGCGGCTGCCAGCTCCCTGAGTGACCAGCATCTGAATGTCTCCAGGCTGCTTGCTGGGCCACCTCCCAGCCCTGCCCACCCCGTGGTCCCCTCCTGACCCTTTCTAGGTGTCTCAGGCCCCCAAGGCCCCACAGCCTCCCCCCCTGCGAATGAGGAGTCATCAGCACAGCTCAGCAGGGACCCTGAGAGGCCAGAGGCCAAGCCGCCGCTCAAAGTGGAGGTCAGGCCCGCGCTGACCGGCTGGGCTGGGGGGAGCCGTCCCTGTCCCGTCCACTCCCCGCGCCCCGTCCGCCAGAAGCCTCCGCAGTGGGGCAGTCCCAGCCCGTGCCCCTGACCACAGCCCTGAGGCAGACTGTCCCGGCCACCTTTGGGCCCAGCACGCTCCCTCCCAGCCCTGCACACAAGGGGGCTGTGAGCTTGTGCACCAGCAAAGGCTGTCATGCAGCAGTGGGGACCCGGAAGGATCAGGGCTGGAGCGTCCTCACGGGAGGCATCCCACGTGGCTCACCTCGGCACTGGGTGTCTGCCTCTCACATCCTGCGGCTCCCACCACGTGGGCCCCGTCCACTTCAGGGTAGACCCCTCCTGGCAGGTTCTGTGCCCACAGCCTGACAACTACAGGGGCAACTACAGCCCCTGACCCTCCTTCCCTGGCTTGGAAGAGGGATGAGAAGCCGCTGGACAAAGGGGCATGACAGGCATATGTGAGCGTGTATGAGCGTGTGGGAGCATGTGGAAGCATGTGGGAGCATGTATGAGCATGTGGGAGCATGTGTGTGCATGTGGGAGCATGTATGAGCGTGTGGGAGCGTGTGTGCGCATGTGGGAGCGTGTGGGAGCATGTGGAAGTGTGTGGGAGCATGTGGAAGCGTGTGGGAGACCCAGCAGGTTGGGGAAGGACTGGCCCTTGTCCCAGCTCTGGCACCCATGTTAGCTTTTGGTGAGGGACACAGTTTCTAGCACCTTCTGAGAAAGGACCTGTTTGAGAACAGCCAGACCCTGCCAGCCCCCACCCGGCCCAGCCCGGCTCTCAGAGAGGATGGGGTGGGACCCCATGTTCAGCGCTGGCCACCTTCGGGCTGCTCTGACAGCATGGGGTGGTGGGCACAGAGCCCTGCCCGTGGGGGTTGACACCTGACCCAGTCACCCTCGTCATGGGGCTGACGACGGCACCCATCCCGGGCACCCCTAGGAGCACAGGGGTCAGGCCTGTGTGCGGACCTGCCAAGTTCTCTGGGTTTCATTTTGTCCCCACCCCGCTGCATTCTCTCTACTTGTGCACACGTGATTTCCACAAATGATAAGCAGCCTCAACCATTTCCTGAAAAATTGGGGTTTTAGGTGAACCTCGGGGATGTTTTTCTACTGAAAAAGGTGAAATTAGGGAGATGCCTCCTGTAGGTCCGGAGGGGGACTCTGGCAGGGCGGCCGCCAGCCCTGCCTCTTGGGGTCACCGCGGGAAGGTGCTGGGTCCTGCTGTCCTCACATGCAGATGCGATTTCCACCACGGCAGCCCCCACGGCTGGGCTTACTGGGCCCGCGTGCCATGGGGGGAGCACCCGAGTTCCAACCTGCAACCCCCACGGATCCCACCCTGGGAGGACACCCCCGCTGTCGCCCCCGCTGTCGCCTCCTGCAGGTGGGATTTCGGGAGGTTCTTGGGTCATTCTCATCCCCGTGGAGGCTCAGGCTTCATTCCTTTAGCGAAACCTCATGTGTTTCCCGCACTTCCAAAAACGTCCAGCTGGAAGCCCTGAACTTCAGAAAGCAAAAGCAACTGAGTTTTCCCTGCACAGCCTGTGGCTCTCCCGGCCGGAAAGCACTTGTGTCACCCAAATGCCTGGGTCCTGGGCTGACCGTCCTAGTCTTTTGGAATCTAAGCTGAGCTGACTTAACCTAAATCCCTCCTTCCCAGAAGGGCTAAAGTGATCCTTTTCGTAGCTCCGCTAAGAGGCCTTTATCTGTGGCCCGGCTCATCCCAGAGGGGACGGGAGGGGTTGAGGTGAATGCCTGCAGGGTAACAAGATAAAGCACAGTGTAAGATGAGTGTGACACAAGGGGACAGGTCAGGCCCGGTCAGTGTGACACGAGGGGACAGGTCAGGCCCGGTCAGTGTTGCCACAGGGGCCACGAGGGGGGGCTTCAGGTGGGTTCCCCAGGACCCCCAGGACTCCGCACCTAGGCCAGAGCTCCGGACGGCCAGCAAAGCCAGCGAGACCTGATGCCTCAGGGCCTGCAGTGTCCAGTGCATGGAAATGGCCTTGGGAGGAGAGGCGGGTCCCGAGAGAACCCCAGGCTCTCCCCCAGGCGCAGGCACCCACACCACCTGGGCAGGCGAGGCCGAGCCTCCCCCCGCAGTTCCTCAGGACCTTCCTCTTGCCAACAGGAGCCCAGCGTGGAATCCCGCAAAGGAAACAGACAATGGGTCCGTGTCCACACCATGGCCACCAGAGCGCAGGTGTCACCTCCCCTTGAAACCCACAGCTGGTATCTTCACCATCGCCTCCTTCACAGGCAGAAAACAGACGCGGAGAGGCCAGCTCTCTCCCGGAGGCCGCGCGGCAGACAGGGGGCCGGATCCTACCCAGCGGGTCTCTCGGGTCCCTAGGGGGTAGTCCCCAGGCACCCAGACCTGCCTTGAGAAGAGTGTCTGTCTTGCCACAGCCTTCCCTGAGAGGCCCTGCGTGGCCCCAGGTAAGAACATGCACCGTCCCTCCAGGACTCAGGGTGAGGGTGCAGAGGGCGGGCAGCCGTGCCCAGGGTGAAGCCGTGGCCCCGGGTGAGAACACGCACTGTCCCTCCAGGACTCAGGGTGAGGGTGCAGAGGGCGGGCAGCCGTGCCCAGGGTGAAGCTGTGGCCCCGGGTGAGAACACGCACTGTCCCTCCAGGACGCACAGTGAGTGTGCAGGGGGCGGGCAGCCGTGCCCAGGGTGAAGCCGTGGCCCCGGGTGAGAACACGCACTGTCCCTCCAGGACTCAGGGTGAGGGTGCAGAGGGCGGGCAGCCGTGCCCAGGGTGAAGCCGTGGCCCCGGGTGAGAACACGCACTGTCCCTCCAGGACGCACAGTGAGTGTGCAGGGGGCGGGCAGCCGCGCCCATGGTGAAGCCCGGTGAGGCAGCCTGAGGCTGAGAAACACAGTTTCTTATGACAAAAGAAATTCACTTTCATGACAGAAAATGCGGATGAACACAGAGAACGACGTAAGAGTATCCTGAAACCTGCAGGAGGTAACAGCAGGGGTGGCATTTGGGGTGTCCTCCAGGGCGCAGGACTCTTGAGGGGATGGCTGGCTCGGACCCGGGGTGCTCCTCCAGCCGGACACGGGCCCAGGAAGCCCGCACTGTGGGGCTGAGTGGAAACTGCATCTGCGTGGCGGGCACGGCACGGTGTCTGCGATCTGGAGCTCTTCAGGGAAGGCCAGCCTGCGGCGGCGATGACGATGACAGATGGCGAGGGTCCGAGAGCCTCGTTACCCCACAGTGACCCGAGACGTTCGGGACCAGGAAACTTCCCGAAGGTCGGCCAACCCGAAAGTGGCCAGGGCCTCCAGGCACCAGGTAACAGAATAAGAAATATACATTTGGCCTCTGCCCTGGTTCCCCACACCAGCTCCGAAATCGCTTGGTATTTCCTGGGTGCTAGGAGCGTTTTTTTGTTCAAGGAGGTGACTCTTGGGGGCCCCTAGACAGCTTCAGGATGGGGTACGCTCACCGGGAAGACCAAACATCAATTAGAAGCTTGGAACTTTCAGTCCCACCGGCCTCCAGGGAGGGGAGAAGGGCTGAGATTGAATAACGATCCATTGGTCATGCCTGCCGGCTTCCATTAAACCCTTTAACAGATAGAATCCGGGAGCTTCTGGACTGGGGAACGCATGGGAGTGTGGGGGGTGGACAGAAACTCCTGCACTTGGGTCCTTCCTGGACCCCGCCCTGTGCACCTTGTTATCTGGTTGTCCATCTGTATCCTTTATTACATCTTTTATAGTGAATCAGTGAACGTAAATGAGTTTTTCCCTGAGTCCTGTGAGACTTAGAGCAAATTATCAAGCCTGGGGAGGAGTCGTGGCAACCCCCAACTTTGTAGCCAAGTCAGACGGAGGCGTGTGAACCCTGGGCACCCGATACTTGGGACGGTCGCCTGCAGAGGGGCAGCTTGTGGGACGGAGCCCCAGCCTGCGGGGTCTGCGCTACCTGCAGGTAGTGTGAGAGTCGAACTGAATCGTGGGACACCCCGTTGGTGTCCACTGAGAACTGGAAAGTTGCTTGGTGTGAAAATCCCGCACATTTGGTGCAAAGTGTTTAGAGTGTAGAGAAACAGATGTGTTCCGTTTCAGCCTGGGTGACCAGCCGGGGCCCTGGATGGTCTTGTCTGCCCAGCCCCCAACCTTTTCTTCCCCTGTCTGTGGGGCTGGGATGGAGCTGCTGATAAAGCCGGCTGTGCCCAGGCCCAGGCTGCGGGCTGCACGCTCCTCCTGGGGCTCCGTGACCGACGCGCAGGGCATGCTGGGGACTGAGCGCTTCTTGGGACTCAGAACCCTCCCTGCTAACATCAGGAAAGTCCCAGGCCGACTGGGATGAGTTGATCAACATCGGTTCTGAGTTCCAGGCCAACTGGGATGAGTTGATCAACACTGGTTCTGCTGAAGCTGGAGGGAGTTCACCCTCCGACCTTTGGGGTCACCAGGTTGGCAGGAAGCTCAGTTGCTCCTGGCCGCTGTCCGGGCCTCCGGGGGAGGGAGACCCATGCCCCCTCAGAGGGGCGTCACAGGCAGAGGCTGGGGCTTTGTTCCTGACAGCGGCACCTATGTCCTGTCCACCTTCCTGTGACACGGGCAACCAGCCAACCTGCCTGACTTCAAACCAGTGCAAACCAGTTCAGCCAGGAATCCTGACTCACACACCCTCCAAATTCACGTGTCGGGAAGACGCCAGCCCCGAGTCTGATGACCAGATTTAGCCCAGAACGTTCTGTGAGGCTCCCTCTGACCGAGTCCCCCGCAGGCGCTTTCATTTGCCACCTGGGGGGTCCAGCACCCACCTGCACCCTGTACCTGGTGTCGTCCTGCTGGCATCAGCATTTCCAAGGTGAGCTAGAACTGGTTAAAATATCAGCATGTGGCCCTGAGAACAAGGCCTTTGCCGCCAGCTGACTTTTCTCTCTGGACGCCTGGGCGAGGGCCTAGTGGTATCCTTGTGTCTGACATCAGGGCACGGCTGCAACGGTTGTCCCCCAAGCTGCCCCCTGAATCCCCCATGGATCTCCCAGCCTCCGATCCCTCCCTCTGGGCATTTGCACTATTCAGGGGTGCAGATATTAAACAGAAGGGAAAGTAGGCTAAGTCCCATATGACCTGTATGACAAGCGGGCTAGGACCTGACCCACCTGTGCTGACCTGCGGGCCCCTCACCTGCGGTCCGCTTGGTGCCCTCCAGCTCCCCAGGCCTGGACCTGGCTGCAGAGGCAGCTGCCCTGGGGACAGATGGTGCAGGGGCTGCAGGGCTGGGGGCTGTGGTGGGGAGCACCTCCCTCCACAGGTGGGCCACTCCCAGGGTGAACAGGGATCCAGGTCTGAGGCCAGGCCTGGATGGACGGCAGCCAGGAGCTTCTCAAAGGCACCAGCGGCACGGCCGGCACCTCTCTCAGCTCCGGAGCTCTCTTAAGTTCACAGCCTTAATAGAATTCCACCCATTTGTCCAGGGGGACAACGGGGCTTGGGAAGGAGTGAGAGAACAGCTCCCGCTGAGCCCCAGCCAGGTGCCGGCAGGACAGCGTGAGCCGGAGTTACAGATGGTCAGTTCCAAGAGAAGCCCGAAATCCAAATGTGGATTTTTGTGGAATTACCTGACATTTCGATCACTCTGCAGCCCCCACAGGCATCCGGGGATGCGGGGAGGGGGCGTGGTTGGTTTGCAGCCCCGCCTTGACCATAGAACAGGACAATGGAAACTCTGGGAGGGCCTGAATATTACCTGACTTCACAGATCAAAATGACCAGATAATCCAAACCAGCAGTGTACACCTGGCGTTTGGCAATTCCACACCCACCTGTGAAATTCACTTAAGCATTTTGGAAAGTTTGAGTTACTTCAGTAATAGAATCCGTATCTAACTAGATGTAGGTGTAAGCGCAGTCGTAATGTTTGCTGCAGGGGCCTATTCGCTGGCACTGTCTCAGGCGCTCCTCCTTCGGTCCGTCAGCAGTTCCTGGGCACCAAGCTGTGCTGGCCGCCGCCCTGCACGGTGCACAGCAAAGCTACGCAGCCATGGCGCTCCTTCCAGAACCAACCAAATAAACAGCAGGACTTTAGGGGCCAGGGTGAGGGGGAGAGCAGGGAGGGAGACCTCCCTGTGTGGGGTCTCTGTGCTGTGTGGCCCTGGGGCATGTGCTAACAGGGCTGGGACTGCCCGGACACGCAGCCTGCCCTGGAGTCTACGCCTGCCGTCCCTCCTTGCGGGTGTGAAGAGGCTGAGGCCTTGCTTCTCAAGGAGCTTGGTCGGAGACCCTCCCACACCCCATCCTAAGGAAACTTCTCCCTCCTCAAGCTGCTGCTTGGGATGTTCCCAGCTGCCTCATCCTGGCGCCGCGGCAGTAACCGGCTCACGTGATCACTGGACTCTGCCAGCCACGGGGAGTTGGCAGTAGACAAGAAGACCCTGTCCCTGCCCCAACAGGAGGTCAGTTTAGAGACACAGAGCTGGAGACCACTTAGCAGAACGATCTCCTGCAAAAAGGACAGGCAGGTGCTGGGGACAGTCCTAAGGCACGGAGGGGTAAAGTGTGTCTGTGCATGAGCCAGAGCTTCATAAGCTGGGCTGCCTCATCGCCTTTCGTAGCTTAGGACAACTTGGGCTAGATGGCCCCAGAGCCAGGTCCTGGGAGTTAGGAGTTGGTCAGGGTACCCCAGGCCCTGGCGGTCGTGAGGGCAGGGCCCAGCCCCAACTGTGCTGGATGCCGTCTGAACTGTGCAGGGGCCTGAGATTTTACTTTCGGGCTAACAAGCCTGCCTGTTTCGTGGGTGCTGGCAGGAAGCACCAGACTGCTGGGGTCAGAGATAGAGGATCTTAATCACTCACAGCAAAAGCAGAACCAGAGGGTCAGCACCTTGAGTGGGCTCCCAAGCCCCTTCCCCAGCAGCGATGTGCGGGGGCTCAGACAGATGCTGCCCACACAGGGGACTGCCCACAGGAGAGGCCCTCAGCTCTGGGAAGCCGCTGCTGTACAGCAGGCAGACAGTGTGCCAGCTCTTCGTCCCAGAGAGAGGCATCGGTCACCGTGCACACACCCGTGCACACCCCCCTGAGAAACGACCCCGGGGCAGCCATTGGAGTTTGCATTCCTGGCCCAGCAAGATGGGCAGGAGCAAGGGATCCATGGAGGAGCGTCTTCCAGGAAACACTGGGGAAGCTTTGACACAGCCTCAGACCGTGGGGTTCAGGGAAGCAGCTGGGGGCTGAGTGCTGGCCCTCCCCGGCACGGAATACCGTACAGGCCTCGGGTTTCTGGGTGGCTGCTGGTGCAGTTCCCCATCAGCAGGTGTGGGTCCTACCTGCCTTTATGGCCCTGGTGGCCTGTGGAGACGCCTGGTTGAGGGATGGGGGCTGATGGCTCCTCCCAGGGTGGACCGTTGGGCTCCCCTCCCTGCCTTCCCCACGCTCTCACTGCCCCTCCCTGCCCCAGAGGGGAGACTGCTGGGTGGGTCCCACGGCCAGAGCTCAGCCCTCGTGCTCCGCCTTTCCCCAGCACCGCACACCTGCCTCAGGAGGGGGCCGTGCACCCTCCGGGCCTTCTGCCACCAGACCCAGTTGTGCCCAATGATGCTGTGAGCGTCTGTGCTGAGTCTTCATCAGGAAAATGTGGGAAAGACATTAAAATGGGTGAGGAGGTTTCTGGGCATCCTTTCAGTGGGGGGCCAGGCGAACCCCTGGGTTCTCTGGTGCTGCAGTGATCGGCGCCTTCCTCATCTTTAATGGAGCTGTGAGACAGTTCCCTGCACACCAGAAAGGTGACGGCCACACACAGGAGCCCACGGAGGTGCAAGGACACTTGTCAGTGGAGACACGGCTGATTTCCACCAATGGAAGAGAGAATCCAAAGGGGAGGTTTCAGGCCCTGTGGATATTGGCTGGTTTGGTGATGACTTGGGGGATGCGTTCCAAGCACTCCAGTGGATGCCTGAAACCTTGGATAGTGTTGAACCCTGTATAGACTATGTTTTGTCCTATATGTACAGCCCTTTGATAAAGTTTAATTTGTAAAATAGGCACAGTAAGAGATTAACAATCACCAATCATAAACAGCAATTACAACAATCTATGGTGATAAAAATTATGTGAATGTGGGATCTCCCTCTCTCTCAAGGTATCTTACTGTGCTGTACTCACCTGTTTTCTGCAGTTGAGCACAGACAACTCAAGTCGGGGATACGGGGGACGACTGTATTAGCAAGTTCGTTTCAGCTCGATTGCCTAAACCTGTGGATTTTCCTTTGAACCAGTTTTAATATCTTCCTGCTTCCCTCATGAATTAATAAGTTAAATAAAACTTTTGACTTAACACGTGTATTAGTCCATTCTCGCATCGCTATCCAGAAATACCTGAGTCTGGGCAATTTATTTATTTATTTATTTATTTATTTATTTATTTATTTATTTTATTATTATTATTTGTTGAGATGGAGTCTCGCTCTGCTGCCCAGGCTGGAGTGCAGTGGCGGGATCTCGGCTCACTGCAAGCTCCGCCTCCCGGGTTCACACCATTCTCCTGCCTCAGCCTCCCGAGTAGCTGGGACCACAGGCGCCCGCCACCACGCCCGGCTAATTTTTTGTATTTTTAGTAGAGACGGGGTTTCACCGTGTTAGCCAGGATGTTCTCGATCTCCTGACCTCGTGATCTGCCTGCCTCGGTCTCAACAAAGTGCTGGGATTACAGGCGTGAGCCACCGTGCCCGGCCGAGTCTGGGTAATTTATAAAGAAAAGAGGTTGAACTGGCTCCGGGTCCCACAGGCTGTACAGGAAGCGTGGTGGCTTCTGCTTCTGAGGAGGCCTCGGGGAGCTTCAACTCGCGGCGGAAGGCGAAGCTGGAGCAAGTGTCTCCCACGGCAGGAGGAGGAGGAAAAGAGAGGGGGAAGGGGCCACACACGTTTAAACAACCAGATCGCAAGAGAACTCTGTCCCAGGACAGCACCAAGGGGATGGTGCTGAACCCTTCATGAAGGGTCCACCCGCGATCCGGTCACCTCCCACGCGGCCGCCTCTGACACGGGGGATCCCAGTTCGACATGAGGTTTGGGTGAGGACACAGATCCAAACCTTATCAATGTGTGTTCATTCTAGATTTGTGTGTCATGATTTTACTTTTTTGAATATTATCTTTTAACCCTTCATTGTCTGATACAACAGAGTCTCACCAATTAAACTTTGAGAGACCCATTTATGAATCCACACCAGGCCCTTGTTTATGAAGGATATTATGAGACATTTAGTCAGTCATTGAACGATACTTACTGAGCATCTGCCGTGTGCCAGCAGTGAGGGGAGCAGTCTTCTCCGCATGGGGTCATCAGAGGCTTCTGAAACCGACTGGGAAGTCAGAGAAGATCCCAGAGGAGGCGATGCTGGAGGCTGGCTTTGAAGGACAAGGAGGAATTCACTTTAGGGTCCTACCTTAATGAGGGGGTGTTGAGAAGGACAGGGTCTGGGTAGCTGGAACCACCCACAAAAGGGCAGCCATGCTGTCCTGAAAGGGTGGGGATATGGACAGCTGTCACCAGGTGAGCCTGGATTCAATCTGCATTTTGTTTGTTTGTTTTTGAGACAGAGTCTTGCTATGTTGCCCAGGCTAGAGTGCAGTGGTGAGATCTCAGCTTGCTGCAACTTCTGCCTCTCGGGTTCAAGCAATTCTTGTGCCTCGGCCTCCCAAGAAGCTGGGATTACAGTTAGCCGCCACCACATCCCACTAGTTTTTATACATTTAGTAGAGACGGGGTTTTACCATGTTGGCCAGGCTAGTCTCCAACTTCTGACTTCATGTGATCCACCTGCTTCGGCCTCCCAAAGTGCTGGGATTACAGGCATGAGCCGCCGCACCCGGCCAGATCTGCATTTTGGAAAGATGCCCCTGTTCACTGTGGATGCGCAAGAGGGTGAGGCAGGGAGACCCGGGGTGGACGTGCCAGGCAGGCCTGGCCCCGCAGGGACCGTGACATGGGGCAGTAGAGGTGGGTTTTAAGGTGGTGGATCTGCAGGTGCTGGGTGTGCCAGGTGGCAGTGGCTGGAAGTCTCCAGGCCTGTCCTGGTGTGGGACGCCCAGGAGGTACCTCAGGTGTGTGGGGCAGGTGTTGGGCATTGGGGGCAGGTGTTGGGCATTGGGAGCAGGGTTGTGCCTCCTACCTGGGGGCTGGGGGTGCCTGGGCCAAATCCGCCAGAACCGGGACCTAAGAGTTCAGAGGGCATCAGAAAAACGCAAAGACCCACTGGCACCCCAGAAAAACGCAAAGACCCACTGGCACCCCAGAAAAATGCAAAGACCCACTGGCACCAGGCAGGTCATACTCCATGAATTTGTACATTCAGGCTTTTGGTACCCAAAGTTGGTGTTTCCATGGCGACAGGGCCCGAATGGCCATTGAACTCTCCTCTAGCCTGCAAGAGCCAGTGTGGGTCTCAGGCAGCTAACAGCCTCTGGAGGGTGCATGGACGGGCTGAGCGGGGGCATCTTCCTTGCTGGGCACAGCACAGGTGACCAGGCCGGGGTGCAGCTGCACGGCCGCACTGACCACTGAGCAGGTTCTGAAGGGCCGTCTACGTATGCGCTGGGGACAGGACCCTCCCCCATTAATGGTGCCCCGGCAGCCTGCTGTGAGCCCCGCCTTCCACAGCCACATCAGACTCACATGGTCCTCTTTGGGTCACCAGGGACTTTGGGCTGAGTCCTGCACCTTTAGGAGCTGAATAACCCCATTTGTTCTCAGGACCTGGCCCGGGTTCCCCTGCCCCAGCCTCTCCGGCCCCTCTCATGCCCCATGTGGGCTCTTCGCTCTCCCTGTGTAGACCACACCCACCACCCCACATTAGAGCCACGGACTCATCTTTCCCTCCAGACTACGGCAGGCACCACAGCGAGAAATGCGCTTTCTATCACGGTCCAGCACACACTGGCATAGAACGTGCAAAACCAACACAAGCTTTACAAATCAATGCAGCTCTTACTATATGGGACAGACTCACACTTCATCTTTAGGAATTGCCAGTCAGAGCCCAGTGTACTGACCCCATGACCCCTGGTATACTGGCCACAACCTGCAATTTGAAAACTACCCTAGGCCCTGGCACTGAGCCCTTCCCAGAGTGGATGCCCAGGAACGCTTGCGGATTCCATCCAGTCACGGGGACGGCTGGGCTGCCAGCTCCTTCGGTGATCCACGTCAACACCACCCTTGCCTCCCTGGCAACTTGGCGGGCCAGGTGCACGCGGCGGCTTCTCAGTCCAGCGTTCATGTCTGTGCACTGACCGTGTGAAGCCGCGGCACCGAGCACCCCTCAGTCAGCAGTGCAATGTGGGGAGCGCTGGTGCGGCTCCCCAGGCCGGCCAGGTGTCTCGCCTGCATCAGCCGACTTGACTCCACTTTGCCATGAGGAATGGATGCCTCTGTGGACACCAGGGCTGGCATGCCAAGGCCACTTGGCCAGGACGTGGCAGAGCTGAGGGCAGGTCCCGGTGTGGCCCCTGGACTGGCTTCACGCACTGTCCAGATGTGGCTTCTCCCACAGGCTGGCATCACACCTGCTTCTCGGCAGCTGTCTTCCACGTGCGCTGCAGGGCCAGCTGGGGAGGACATCTGAGGGAGGCCGAGGCAGAGCGGGGGCGGCTCCACCTTCGACAGTGACATCAGGGGCACCACAGGGCCCTCACAAGGTCTCATGCAAGACGCAGAGGTGCCCTGGAATGTCCTGCTTCCCATTTATCCTCAGCATTCACTCAGGCACCAGTCGAGCCCAGCCCTTTCTCCCACGTGTGAAAAATGTTATGTTATCTCATGGGAGTGAGTTCCATAAATCACGCTTGGAACCCCCATGAGACGTCTTCCGCCCCTGTTTAGGAGGAGAGTGTCTAATTGAACACGGAACGTTGTTCAGCACAGGCCTTTCCCGTCCACGTCAGCTGCTAACAACACAGGTGCCCCTGCATTGAGCATAACTGGGGCCGCACCCACTCGGCGTCCGCAGGCACCTGCCATCCACTGTAGATTTCCCCAAGACTTGGAGAGCTGTGGGCTTAGGTCACCTCCAAATCCACCTTGAGTGCTGAGTGTGCAGGAGGGCAGCTCCGGCTTGCGGGGCCGTCCCCTGGAGGTGAGGCTGCCGTCTCATTGTGCATCTCCTCCTCCTGCCAACCTGAGAGCTGGCTCCTCTGAGTCAGCCTGTCCCACCCTCCGGGTCCTAACTCCAATTCCTGCAGGGTGGCCTCTGCAGTGAGAAGAGCCTCAGGCCTCGGGACACCTGTGGGATCCTGCAGTCACCACCCCAGGGCCAGGACAGCAGAAGCCCCGAGGCGCAGCTCCAGCTGACAACAAGCAGGGGCTCCTCACTGCTCGGATGGAGAATTCTCCAGGCTTGTGGAGGTCCAGGGTCCAGCCCTCGATGTGGACCCTCAGCAGAGCACGCTGGTCCTGGCCCCCTCCCCGCTCCTTCCTGGCCCCTGCCCCAGCCTCCTGGGCGTGAAACGCTCCATGTGCAAGCCCCTGACTCCGGCTCTGCGTTCTGGGCTCAGGCGGGACGGGGGAATCCAAGACAAACATGGTCCCTAGTACTTGATGCTCACCTAGAATCCACAGCGAGCATCTGCCCGGCTGATGACGGAACGGTTCTGGTGACAGGAACCTCCCCCTTCCTGTAGGCCCAGGGAAGGAGGGCAGGCTGTGGCTCCAGGTCAGTCATGTGGCACTGGGCTTTAACGAGGTAATATTTGCTTGGAAGTTTGGAGACGCTCCGTCAGTCGGATCTCCTTCTCTTTCCAGAAGGCCTGACGGTGCAGGTGGGTGGAGCCAACACTGACTGCGTGCTGACTTGGGCAAGGCGCTGGGTAGGGCTTGGTCCCTCCAAGGGGCCACATGAGGCCGTCCCTTCCCTCTGACGTGTAATAGAATTTCACGGATCTGCAGAACGCCGTCACCTCAACTTCTCTGTCCAGGCTCTGCAATTCACAGGCTTGACTTTCCTTTCGTAGGATCAGCCCGTACCCCCCGGAGCTCCAGGCCGGTACCCCCACCCCTGGCTCAGAATTATCCTCCTGAATTGACTCTGGGTTTCCCTGTGCAACTAGAATCCTACAATCCCCAACAGGTCTGAATCCCAGGAATGTGGGCGGCTGAAAAATGGAACTCGAGGGACCACATCCGCACTTAAGTCTACTGTCCTGAAGACTTTTTCATTTATTTTTTTGTAGATTACTTTTTTAAAAAGCATGGGCTGCAACTCCTTAATAAGTCATTAAATCCACATGGTGAGTCACAGCCTTTAAATAGCTGAGACAGAGTAGGAGAGATGACCTCAGTGCACACATCGCCGAACAGCCAGGCTGCCCTCACGGGCTGCTTTATTATGGGGGTGCTATGGTCACCACGTGCAGAGTCTCCTACAGTCTCGAGCGACCCTGCCCTCCAGGCAGCACCCACTGCCTAGGGGAGGTCGAACCAGGTCTGTTGAGGTTCATCCCCTCTGGAGACTTGGACACACGAAGGTCTAGGGGATCAGGCTGTTGAAGGAACCTGTTGGGCTCTTGTCTTTAAAGCTTGAACTCAGCCCTCACTAGCTGCACTCACATCAGAATCATTCTTACTGGGGACCCAGTGTCCCCCAAGTCTAACACCGTCCGTGCGGACCTGCAGGGAACCTCTGTCTCCCCACCCAGCACCGAGTCTAACACCATCTGTGCGGACCTGCAGGGAACCTCTGTCTCCCCACCCAGCACTGAGTCTAACACCGTCCGTGCGGACCTGCAGGGAACCTCTGTCTCCCCACCCAGCACCGAGTCTAACACCGTCCGTGCGGACCTGCAGGGAACCTCCCCACCCAGCACCGAGTCTAACACTGTCTGTGGGGACCTGCAGGGAACCTCTGTCTCCCCACCCAGCACCGAGTCTAACACCGTCCGTGCGGACCTGCAGGGAACCTCCCCACCCAGCACCGAGTCTAACACTGTCTGTGGGGACCTGCAGGGAACCTGTCTCCCCACCCAGCACCGAGTCTAACACCGTCCGTGCGGACCTGCAGGGAACCTCCCCACCCAGCACCGAGTTTAACACCGTCCGTGCGGACCTGCAGGGAACCTCCCCACCCAGCACCCAGTCTAACACCGTCCGTGCGGACCTGCAGGGAACCTCTGTCAACCCACCCAGCACCGAGTCTAACACCGTCCGTGCGGACCTGCAGGGAACCTCCCCACCCAGCACCGAGTCTAACACCGTCCGTGCGGACCTGCTGGGAACCTCCCCACCCAGCACCGAGTCTAACACTGTCCGTGGGGACCTGCAGGGAACCTCTGTCTCCCCACCCAGCACCGAGTCTAACACCGTCCGTGCGGACCTGCAGGGAACCTCTGTCTCCCCACCCAGCACCGAGTCTAACACCGTCCGTGCGGACCTGCAGGGAACCTCTGTCTCCCCACCCAGCACCGAGTCTAACACCGTCCGTGCGGACCTGCAGGGAACCTCTGTCTCCCCACCCAGCACTGAGTCTAACACTGTCTGTGGGGACCTGCAGGGAACCTCTGTCTCCCCACCCAGCACTGAAGGCTGCTGAGAAGTTCTTCGATTTGGAGACCTGATGTCTTGGTCCATTTGTGCTGCTGTAACAAAATACCTCTGACCATGTGATTGATAAACAGTAGAAATGTATTGCACACAGTTGTAGAGGCTGAGAAGTCCAGGATCCAGGCGCCAGCAGACTTGGTGTTTGGTGACAGCCTGTTCCCCAGAGATGGTACCTTCTATGTGTCCTCACGTGGAGGAAGGGACAGAAGGGCTCCTTCAAGTCTCGTTGAAGGGCACTCGTCCGTCATGAGAGGACAGCCCTCACGGCCCAGTCACCTCCTTAAAGCTCCATCTCCTAACCACATCGCCTTGGGGGTTAGGTGTCAACATATGGTTTGGGGGGACACACACATTGAGACCACAGCACCTACTCCAGGCCCCTGGCAACTGGTACTGAGTCCTCTGAATATAGCCAGTATTCGCCAAAACCTTTTGCACAAACAACAATTAAAAATAAAGAAAACTGGCTATCTGCAATGGCTCTCACTTGTAATCCCAGCAGTTTGGGAGGCCAAGAGCTCGAGACCAGTCTGGGCAACAGCAAGACCCCATCTCTACAAAAATAAAATAAAATAAATAAATACAACTGCCCACTCAGTGAACCCAAAGCTGTGGGGCGTTTTGTGTCACTTCCTCTGCTGGTGCCCACGTGACGTCAATCATCTTTCATCAGCACCTCACTTCCCTCTGAACGAAGACCACACGATCTCCACCCGGCCAGCTCTGAGGCCCCAGGTCCTCCTTCCTGTCTCTCTCCAGGGTACAGTGTCAGTGCCTTCTGTCCGGGCCCTCTGCTGACCTCTCCCCGAGGATCTTCCTACTGCGAGGGCAGTGATCTCAGGCCCCACCACCCTTGGATTTCAGGACCCCACCTCTGCAACCCTGCATTTCTGAAACGCACCTTGGCACTTTGAATGTTCCCAAAAAGGAGATTCTAATCAAATTTGAATTAGGGGGAAGTCAGTGAAAAGCAAATTTCTGGCACCAGGAAATGTACAGGAAGGAAGGTGAGAGGCAAGCCCAGTTCTGGACACCATGTGCTGTGGAGGGGCAGAAGCCATCTGTGACCCCTGACCTCTGGCCCTTACCACCTACCTTATCATGAGCCTACGGCGCATTCTGGCAGCTACAGGGCTACTTTTTACTGAGTCCTTTACAATGAAATGATTCCTAGTACCCCAACCTCTGGAGAACATGAAGTCCCTGGAAGCAAATTCTCAGATAGCTTTTGCTGAACGGTAAATAAGGCTGCATTTTCACTCATGTGACTTAAGCAGTCCACTTGTAAAACAGGCTTTGCAAACAAGGAGGCAATTTAAGGGAAAAAAAACCATCTATGAAGTGATGCTTAACAGAAGTTTGGCTTTGTTGTAACGGTTAATTGACAGAATGATTTGCATTTAATCTTAGTTTTGGACAGCCAAGGATTTGTCCAGGAAGGGCTGCTTACAGCCATGCTCATTAATTGTGAATTACTCATTACTTCAGATCAGCTGGAACAAATCCCAAGCGGGCTTAATCTCTGTGTGCAGGCAGCCCAGGGCTAATGGCAGCAGTCCTTTTTATTGACCCCCACGGCCCTGTCCCCAGTCAACCTCCTCCAAGCAGGGAGTTTCCAGAGGCCTCACAGCCGCCTGGGAGACCCCTCATGGCAGGCTGCTCCCTTGACAAGTTCAGAACTGCTGGGGTTCCCGGCCGCGCGTTCAGGACTCAAATCTGGAGATATCCGCTCTGTGCTCCTCAAGTATAAGGTTAGATAGGGATGGGGCCTGGCCTGTGTTCCTGGCAGGGAAGGCCACCTCTGAGCTCCCCCAGAGCCCGGCCGCCTTCTCCGGGTTCCCAGCCCTGCAGTTCCCAAGGCTGCATGCGGAGGCGGAAATGAGGGCAAAGGTGGAGGGTACCCGGAGCTACTGAGGTCACGTCTTTCCCCAGGCACCCCTTCTCCTGGGGGACCTCACGGTGGGGTCAGGGCCTCACTCCCGGGCACCCCTCCTCCTGGGGGACCTCCTGGTGGGGTCAGGGTCTCACTCCTGGGCACCCCTCCTTCTGGGGGACCTCACGGTGGGGTGAGGGCCTCACTCCTGGGCACCCCTCCTCCTGGAGGACCTCACGGTGGGGTCAGGGCCTCACTCCTGGGCACCCCTCCTCCTGGGGGACCTCCTGGTGGGGTCAGGGTCTCACTCCTGGGCACCCCTCCTTCTGGGGGACCTCCTGGTGGGGTCAGGGCCTCACTTCTGGGCACCCCTCCTCCTGGGGGACCTCGCGGTGGGGTCAGGGCCTCACTCCCGGGTACCCCTCCTCCTAGGGGAGCTAACCCCGGGCACCCCTCCTCCTGGGGGGACATCTCAGTGGGGTCAAGGCCTCAGGCCTGGGCACTTCTCCTGGGGGACCTCGCCCCGGGCACCCTTCCTCCTGGATGACACCCCGGTGGGGTCAGGGCCTCACCCCTCTCCTGGGGCCGTCAAGTGTCCTGCACGCCCTGCTCTCCCTACCGCGTCTGTCTGAAAGGACGCCCTGCAGTCCCCTCGTCCTCCCCGGTCAAGTAGCACAGCCCACAGCCCGGGTGAAATGCAACGACCTTTTACATATCAGCCTTGCTTGAGGCTTTACAGCAACTCCAGGCCGCCTGGCTTGGGTTTGCAGCGCGGCGCCCTCGCACAGCCCCCCCTTCCCCGCGGCGGCGTCTACGGGGGACCAGAGATTGTGACGCGCGCCCTAGGGGAGAGCAGGAGGCTTCCACGGGCCAAGGAGGCGGCTCCGAGAGGTGACCCGGGACCGGGGCGTGGCCCAGGGCGGAAGACTGAGGCGGCGACCTCCCGGCCCCGCCCCTCGCCGAGCAGCCCCGCCCCTTCCACGCCCCTCCGGGAGGCCCACCCCTATGGACGCCGCTCTGCACCAATCGGAGATTGCCTGGCCTCAGACCCGCCTCCTGGTGCCGCCCGCGCAGGCGCCGTAGGCCGAAGCGGCGGGATGAGCGGAGCCGGCGTGGGCGGGGCGTCCGAGGAGAGCCAGGCCATGCAGGCCCACGTGGTAGGTGCCAGCGGGGAAGGTGCCCCGCCGTGCAGGCTGGGTCCTCGCGTCCCCTCACCCCGCCCTCCAGTCCTCTCTCGCTCCGGGGTTCGCAGCCCCGCACCGCCTCTCGGGCTCACCTACGGGGTCTCCGCCCTGAGCAGCCCTTAGGCCCCGCGGGCGAGCGCGGCTGCGCGTGCGGGGGACGCTCGGGATTGGAGCCCGCGGGGCGCGGCCGAGATCTGCAGCTCCGGCTGCGCTTCCTGCCCCCGTCCCGCGAGCGTGGCCTCCTCACCGACCTTCCTCGTTCTGATTTTGAAGCTTCCGGGCTCGGAGCTCAGGCAGTTCCCCGTTCGCCCTCACCTGGTCGTGGGGTGGAGGAACGGCGCACCTGCCTCATCCCCGCCCGCCTGCCCCGCGCTCCTTCCCCGCGCCCGCACACCTGCCTCGCTCCCGCCTCGCTCCTGCGCACCTGCCCCGCCCCCGCGCACCTGCCCCGCCCCCGCGCACCTGCCCCCGCACCTCACACACCTGGTCCGCGCACCTGCGCATCTGCCTCGCTCTTACGCACCTGCCTTGCCCCTGCACGCCTGCCCTGCACACCTGCCCCGCCCCCGCACACCTGCCCCACACCCCACACACGTGCCCCGCGCTCCTGACTCGCCCCCGCGCACCTGCCGCGCGCACCTGCCTCGCTCCCGCACCCCACACACCTGGTCTGCACACCTCCCCGTGCCCCACACCTGCCTGCACACCTGTCCGTGTGCCCCCACACAACCTCGCACCCCACACGTCTGCCGTCACACATTCCCGGCACACTTGCCCATGCCCCACACACACGTCTTGTGCCTGCACACCTGCTTCACACACCTGCTCTGCGTCCTGCATACATGCCCGTGCCCCATACCTGCCCGTGCACCTGCCGTGCACACCTGCCTGCGCATCCCACACACCTACCTGCACACCTCCTCCGTGCCCACACACCTGCCTGTGTGCCCAGCACACTTACCCCAAACACGTGCCCTAAAAACCTGCCCTTAAGCCCCGAACACCTTCCCCGTGCTCCGGCAGAGGCTGGAGCAAAGGCCCTCAGGGTTCAGACCCAGCCAATAGGCCGATGCAGGGAACAACCACAGGGATGTAGGATTAGCAGTCGCCCAAAGGCTCAGCCTGTTTTCTGTTTTTTGTTTTTTTGTTTGTTTTTTTTCCAGCCTTTTTTCTTTTTTATTCCAGTCTTACTAAAATTGGTAACAGGTGAATCAAGGTCTATCTTTGATAGAAACATTATATTTTGTAGATCTTGAGAAAAATTATTTCCTTCTTTTCCTCTAAGTAAATCCAAACTAAGGTAAATTTGTAAATAAATTAGGGAACTCGTTTTATTTTTTTTTAATTTTTATTTTTTGAAATGGAGTTTCACACTCGTTGCCCAGGCTGGAGTACAATGGCGCGAGCTCGGCTCACCGCAACCTCTGCCTCCCGGGTTCAAGCGTTTCTCCTGCCTCAGCCTTCCGAGTAGCTGGGATTACAGGCATGCACCACCACACCAGGGTAATTTTGTATTTTTAGTAGGGACGGGGTTTCTCCATGTTGGTCAGGCTGGTCTTGAACTCCCGACATCAGATGATCTGCCCGCCTCGGCCTCCCAAACTGCTGTGATTACAGGCGTGAGCTACCGCGCCCGGCCAGAACTCGTTTTATTCTTATTAACCTAAGTCCAGGAAGAGACAGAGTGAGGTTTCATTTGTAAAGAACTTGACTAAATTGTGTTGTCAACACAATTTCAACTTTTCTTTTTTGGATATAAATTAAGGGTGAGGACAGACTAATCTCTTAAGTATCGCTCCGTATCACTTAATATTATAATGTATGAAATTAAGACTTAACTCCTGTAATCAGTTGTTTTGTTGGCATTGAATTTCCTGGTTTTACTCCATCCCACTTTATAAATTTTTGTTTTGGGCTTCATGAGAAAAGGACAATGAGAAAAGGACACTAGCTACACTAGCCCGAAACGAAGTGTAGGACAAAGGAATCGAGAGATGGACGTCAGGCCTCCCATTTGCTCAGCTGGGTTCTTTGAACACCTCCTGCCCGATACTTTGTTAAAACATTGTTTTTTGTGGGCTGAGGGGTTACTTAAAGGGGTTACTTTGTTGCAGGTTTTCTAACATGGTTTGCCGAAATGCTTATTCCACCTAGAACATGACCAACCAGCACCTGTAATCCCAGCTACTCGGGAGGCTGAGGCAGGAGAATGGCGTGAACCCGGGAGGCAGAGCTTGCAGTGAGCCGAGATCGAGCCACTGCACTCCAGCCTGGGTGACAGAGCGAGACTCCATCTCAGAAAAAAAAAAAAAAAACCAACCAGTTATTTTCATGAGTGAGTTGGAAGATACCCAGATACTTGTTTCAACCAAAATGATGTTTCTGATCAGTGATTGGAAAACTCATGATTTACCATTGAGTTGGGAACAATTTGATGCCTTTCAGTTTTTTTGTTTTGTTTTGTTTTGTTTTTTTGAGACAGAGTCTTGCTCTGTCACCCAGGCTGGAGTGCAGTGGTGCAATCTCAGCTCACTGCAAGCTCCGCCTCCCGGGTTCACGCCATTCTCCCGCCTCAGCTTCCCGAGTAGCTGGGACTACAGGAGCCTGCCACCACGCCTGGCTAATTTTTTGTATTTTTAGTAGAGATGGGGTTTCACCATGTTAGCCAGGATGGTCTCAATCTCCTGACCTTGTAATCCACCCACCTCGGCCTCCCAAAGTCCTTTCAGTTTTTTTTTCACTTTCAAAAACATGTAGAAGGCAGTTCAGGGAAAGCTAAGACGTAAAGAATCTTACAAGCATGTTAAGAGCCTGGAGAAAAGGAGTGGACACCTTTTGTTTGTCACGGCATATGTGCGGGTGGTGAAGGGGAGGTAAATTAGAGCCATGGAAAGGGAACTAAGTTTTCACACTTCTGTTAATCCATTTCTTTTGAATTCCAGTCTATTATCCTCCCAGTCCACAACGCTGAACCATGGCTGGACGAATGTTTGAGGTCTGTTTTGCAACAGGACTTTGAAGGTACCATGGAGCTGTCTGTTTTCAATGATGCCAGTAAGGTTTGTAGGAACTTCCTGTCGGGTGACTCAGCCCCAGTGTAAGCAACGGTTGACTGTTCGGAGGGAAGTTTCCTGACCTGCCAGTGTTCTGCTTTCAGGACAAGTCTGGGGCTATCATTGAAAAATGGAGAGTGAAGCTGGAAGATTCTGGTGTCCACGTGATCATTGGGGGGCACGATTCTCCCTCTCCTAGAGGCGGTAAGTAAACATGCTTAGTTTATTAAACTATAATTCGTGGTTTCTTATCAACTTACGTACCGAAACAGTTTCATGTTGTTCAAATACTGACAAAAAGTATCCTGGTGGTAATTGGATATACCACTTATTAAGAACCTAGTAGAGGCCAGGTGTGGTGGCTCACACCTGTAATCCCAGCACTATGGGAGGCCAAGGCAGGCGGATCCCTTGAGGTCAAGAGTTCAAGACCAGCGTGGCCAACATGGTGAAACCCCATCTTTACCAAAAAATACAAAAATTAGCCGGGCGTAGTGGCACACGCCTGTAATCCCAACTACTTGGGAGGCTGAAGCATGATAATTGCTTGAACCCGGGAGGCAGAGGTTGCAGTGAACCGAGATCGTGCCACTGCACTCCAGCTGGGGTGACAGAGCAAGACTCCATCTCAAAAAAGAGAAAGAGAGAAAGAGAGGAAGGAAGGAAGGAAAGAAGGAAGAAAGGAGAGGGAGAGAAAATGAAAGAAAGAGAAAAAGAAAGAAAAGAAAGAACCTTAGTAGACCTAAAATTTTTTATTGTTTGGTAGGATTTATTATAGACCTAAATTTCTTATTCTTTGGTAAGGATTTATTATAGACCTAAATTTCTTATTCTTTGGTAGGATTTATTATAGACCTAAGTTTCTTATTCTTTGGTAGGGATTTATTGTAGACCTAAATTTCTTATTCTTTGGTAGGGATTTATTATAGACCTAAGTTTCTTATTCTTTGGTAGGGATTTATTATAGACCTAAATTTCTTGTTCTTTGATAAGGATTGATTATAGACCTAAGTTTCTTATTCTTTGGTAGGGATTTATTATAGACTTAAATTTCTTGTTCTTTGATAAGGATTGATTATAGACCTAAGTTTCTTATTCTTTGGTAGGGATTTATTATAGACCTAAATTTCTTATTCTTTGGTAGGGATTTATTATAGACCTAAGTTTCTTATTCTTTGGTAGGGATTTATTATAGACCTAAATTTCTTGTTCTTTGATAAGGATTGATTATAGACCTAAGTTTCTTATTCTTTGGTAGGGATTTATTACTATGATCTGAATGTCTGTGCCCACCCCGAGATTCATATTTGGAACCCCCAGGGTGATAGTATTAGGATGACATTAGGTGGGGACTTTGGGAGGTGATTAGGACATGAGGGTGGGGCCTCACCAATGAGATTAGTGCCCTTATAAAAGAGGCCGCTCAGAGCTCCCTCACCCCTCCTGCTCTGTAAGAACACAGGGAGAAGGCACCTCTGTGAGCCAGGAAGGGGCCCTCACTAGACACTGAATCTGCTGGAGCGTTACTCTTGGATTTCCCAGGCTCCAGAACTGTGAGAAGCCCCTTCTGCCACCCAGTCTGGGGTATTCTGCGGTGGCACGCAGGCTCTTCCAACCCTGGCAACCACTCGCCTGCTTTCTGTCTCTGTAGATTTGCCTGTTCTGGACATTTCATGTGAATGGAGTCAGGTTCCACGTGCTCTTTTGTAACCGGCTTCATTTAGCATAACGTTTTAACGTTCCTCTGTGCTGTGGCATGTATCGTGCTCCGTTCCTCTTTCTGGGAGGATGATATGCAGTTGTACATAAGTACCATGTTTTGTGTGTCTGTTTGTCAGGCAGTGGACATTTGAGTTGTTCTACCCTTTGATACTGTGAATGATGACAGTCTGAACATTTGTGTACAGTTGTTGTTTGAACACTGGTTTTCAGATCCTTTGGGTATATTCCTTGGTGTAGAATTTCTGGCTCATATTGTAATTCTGTGTTTAACATACTGAGGAGCTGCCAAACTTTTCCACAGTGGATGCATTTTACATTCCTACCAGCAATGTATGAACGTTCCAATTTCTACATATCCTCATCAACACTTGTTATTTTCTGTTTTTTAAATTATAGCCATGCTAGTGGGTGTGAAGTGGTGTCTCACTGTGGTTTCCATTTGAATGTCCTTGTTGACTAAAGATGTTGTGCCTCTTTTCGTGTGCTTGTTGGCCATTTATATATCTTCCTTGGGCCAGGCATGGTGACTCACGCCTCTAATCCCGGCACTTCGGGAGGCCGAGACGGGTGGACCACCTGAGGTCAGGAGTTTGAGACCAGCCTGGCCAACATGGTGAAACCCCATCTCTACTAAAAATACCACAAAAAAAAATTAGCCAGGTGTGGTGGCATGCACCTGTAATCTCAGCCACTTGGGAGGCTGAGGCAGGAGAATCGCTTGAACCCGGGAGGCAGAGGTTGCAGTGAGCCGAGATGGTGCCACTGTACTTCAGCCTGGGTGACAGAGTGAGACTCCATCTCAAAATAAATAATAAAAAATAAATGGGCCGGGTTTGGTGGGTCATGCCTGTTATCCCAGCACTTTGGGAGGCCAAGGCGGGTGGATCACCAGAGGTCAGGAGTTCAAGACCAAGCTGCCCAACATGGTGAAACCCCGTCTCTACTAAAAATACAAAAATTAGCTTGGAGTAGTGGCAGCGGCCTTTAATCCCAGCTACTCAGGAGGCTGAGACAGAAGAATTGCTTGAACCCGGGAGGCAGAGATCGCGATCTCTGCTGTGAGCCGAGATCGTACCATTGGACTCCAGCCTGGCAACAAGAGCAAAACTCCGTCTCAAAAAATAATAAATAAATAAATAAATGTATATCTTCCTTGAAGAAATGTTTATTCAAGTATTTTGGCCATTTTAAAAATTGAGCTGTATGTGTTTTCATTGTTGAATTGTAAGAGCTCCTTATATGTTCTGGACACTAGAGCTTTATTATATATAATTTGCAATTTTTTTCCCGTTCTTTGGGTTATCTTTTCACCCTCTCGAGAGTGTCCCTTGATGCACAAAAGGCTTATGATTTTGATGAAGACAAAAATCTAATTTATCTATTATTTCTTTTGTGGCGTGTGCTTTTGGTGTCATTTCTAAGAAGCCACGGCTAAATCAAGGTCACGAAGATTTTATCTGTATGTTTTCTTCAGAATTATACTTGTAGCTCTTATATTTAGGCCTTTGATCTATTTTGACTTAATTTTTATGTATGGTGTGAAGCAAAGGTCCAGCTTCATTCTTTTGTAAGTAGATACTCAGTTTTTCCAACACCATTTAAAAGACTATTCTTTCTCCACTGAATTGTCTTGGTATTCTTGTCAAAAATCCATTAACCATAAACGTATGGATTCATTCCTGGACTCCAGATTCTATTCCGTTGGTCTATATGTCTGTCCTTACGCCAGTACCTCATTGTTTTGATTACTTGAGCTTTGTGATAAGTTTTGTGAATTGTTTTCTTAATTTTCTTTGAGAGTGCTCATTTCTAGGGGATAAACAACAGATTTCTCTTAGTGTTGACCTTGTATCCTACAATTATTAGCTCTAATAGTTTATTAGCTTTAATAGTTTGTTCTTTGTGGGTTTTTAGGATTTCCTGTATTTAAGATCATATTATCTATGAGTAGAGATAGTTTTGCTTCTCCTTTTACAATTTAGATTCTTTCTTTTTTTTTTTTTGAGACAGAGTCTCACTGTGTCATCCAGGCTGGAGTGCAGTGGCACGATCTCAGCTCACTGCAAGCTCCGCCACCTGGGTTCAAGCAATTCTCATGTCTCAGCCTCCCGAGCAGCTGGGTCTACAGGCGTGCGCCACCACAACCAGCTAATTTTTTTGTATTTCTAGTAGAGACGGGGTTTCGCCATGTTGGCCAGGCTGGTCTCAAACTCCTGACCTCAGGTGATCCGCCTGCCTTGGCCTCCCAAAATGCTGGGATGACAGGCGTGAGCCGCCGCGCCTGGCTTTTATCTTTCTTCATCGCTCTGGTTGGTGCTTCCAGGACGGTGCCGAATAGAAGTGGTGAAAGTGGGCATCCTCGCTTCGGTTCTCCCAAGCAATTGTAGGGGAAAAGCTTTCAGTCTTTCACCTTTGAATATGACGTTAGCTGTAGGTTTTTATAAATGCCATTTCTTACGCTAAGGAGGTTTCCTTTTAATTCTAGTCTGTTGAATTTTTAAATCATGAAAGGGTGCCGGATTTTGTCAAATGCCTTTTTGACACCAATTTGAGATGATCATATAGTTTTTTCCCCTTTATCTGTTAAGATGGTATGTTACGTTGATTGATATCCTATGTTGAACTGCCCTCACATTATTGGGATAAATCCCACTTGTTCCTGGTGTAAAATCTTTCTAGTATACTGCTGGATTCAGTTTGCTAGTATGTTGTTGAAGATTTTTGCATATATATATTTGTAAGGGCTATTGGCCTGTAGGTTCCTATTCATATGATATCTTTGTGTGGCTTCGGTATCAGAGTAATACTGGCCTCATAGAATAAGTGTTTCTTCCTCTTGTTTTTTGGAAGAGTTTGGGAAGGATTGGTGTTAGTAATTCTCTGAGTTTGGTGGAATTCATCAGTGAGGTCACCTGACTCTGGGCTTTTTTGTTGGGAGTTTTTGTTTTTTTTATTACTGAGTCAATCTCTATTTGTTATAGGTGTGTTGAGATTTTTTTTATTTCTTCTTGAGTCAATTTTGGTAGTTTGTTTCTAGGAATTTGTCCATTTCATCTAGGTTATCTAACTTTTTTGGCATATGTTGTTTTTCACACTGTCATAATCCTTTTAGTTTCTGTTAAGTTTGGGAGTCATGTACCACTTTTTATTTCAGCATTTTGAGCTGTCTTTCCTTCTTTCTCAGTCTAGCTGGGTTTGTCAATTTTGTTGACCCTCTTCAAAGAATCAACTCTTTTTGTTGATTTGCTATTGTTTTGTCATTGTTTGTTTATTTTCACTCTAATCTTCACTGTTTCCTTCCTTCTGCTAGCTGTGTGTTTAGTTTATTTTTCTTTTTCTAGCTTCTTAAGGTGTACTTTTAGGTTCTTGATTTTAGACCTCTTTTATGTAGGCATTTATAGCTATAAATTCCTTTCTATGCACTGATTTTTCTACATCCTGAAAGTTTTGGTTTGTTGTGTTTTTGTTTTCGTTTGTCTCTGAGTATATTCTAATTAGCCTTATGATTTCTTCTTTGACATATTGGTTGCTGAAGAGTATATGGTTTAGCTTTCATTTATTTATGAATTTTTCAGTTTTACTTCTGTTACTTATTTCTAGTTTCATTTCACTGTGGTCAGAGAAGATACTTCATATAATTGCAATCTTTAAACAAATGTTTAAGGTACATTTTATGGCCGGACGTGTCACCTGTCCTGGAGAATGCGCTGTGCACACCTGAGAATGTGTGTTCTGCTGCTGTCAAGTGGAGTATTCTGTATATTTCTGCTAAGTCTAGTTGGTTTATAGTATTGTTCAAGTTCTCTGTTTATTATCTTCTCTCTAGATGTTCTCTCCATTATTGAAGGTAGAATGTTGAATCTCCGACTGTTACGGTAGAACTGTTTCTCCCTCCAATTCAGTCAATCTTCGCCTTACTTAATTTTGTGACCCTCTTGTTAGATGTGTACAGTTTTATGCTTGTTATATCTTCTTGATCAATTGACTCTTTCTTTGTCTTTTCTAATAATTTTTGAGTTGAAGTCTATTTTTTCTGATATTAGTACAGCCACGCCAGCACTCTTTGATTACTAGTTGCGTGGAATATCTCTTTCCCTTGTTCCACTTTCAGCCTACTTGTGCCTTTGGATCTGAAGTGAATTCCTCATATAGACAGCATTTAGATGGATCATAATTTTCAAGATCCGTTCTGCCAGATTTTGCCTTTTAATTGGAGAATTTAGTCCATTTACATTTAAAGTGATTACTGACAAGGAAGGACTTTTGCCACTTTGCTATCTGCTTTCTATATGTCTTATGTCTTTTTTATTCCTCAATCCTGTATTACTACCTTCTTTTCTGTTTAATTGCTTATTTCCGATGTGCCATTTTGATTCCCTTCTCGTTTCCTTTTCTGTGTATTTCTAAATGATCGTCTTAGTGGTTACTGTGAGGATTACGGTGAACATCTTAAATTTATAACAATGTAGTTTGAATTAACACTTAGCTTCAATCATGTAACATTAACATAAATTCATAAATTATTTTCATGAATGTAGATTTAGATTTATAATTGTTTCCTGGTGTGTGTGTGGCAGTAGGGGGCAGGGGCTCACTCCATCACCCAGGCTGGAGCGCAGTGGCGTGATCTTGGTTCACTGCAACCTCCACCCAGTGGGTTCAAGTGATTCTTGTGCCTCAGCCTCCCAGGTAGCTGGGAATACAGGTGCCTGCCAGCACGCCTGCGTAAGTTTTGTATTTTTGGTAGAGAGGGGGTTTTGTCCTGTTGCCCAGGCTGGTCTCGAATTCCTGGACTCAAGTGATCCACCCACCTTGGCCTCCCAAAGTGTGGGGATTATAGGCATGAGCCACAGCACCTGGCTTGTTTTCTGTATTTGTTTTAAAAGCATATAGGAAAAAATACAAACCAAAATAGTACTATCTTTTATATTTACCTGAATAGTAAACTTTATCCCTGTTCTTCATTTGTTCTTTCTCTATGAGTTCCTGTTTAGTGCCCTTTCATTTCAGCCCTACAATGAACTGCCTCAGTTTTTGTTTATCTTAGAATGTCTTACTTGCTTCTTCATTTTTGAAAGATGACTTTGCTGGATATAGGATTCATAATTGACAGTGTTTTTCTTTGAGCACTATGAATACAGATGGCCCCCAGCCTGTGATAGTTCAACTTACCATGTTTCAACTTTATGATGGTCAAAGGCAACACAAATTCAGTAGAAACCACGGTTCTGTCAGGATACCAGGCAGTGGCCATGAGTCACAGCTCCCAGGCCCCCACGCATTTTTGACTTATGATGTTTTAAATTTACAGCGGGTTTACCTAGACATAGGCTCACCCTCAGTTGAGGAGCATCTGTGTGTGACCCCATTGCCTGTGGCCTTCATTGTTTCTGATGAGAAGTAAGCGGTTAATCTTATTGAGGGTCTCTTGTAAGTGGCAAGTGATTTTCTCTTGTCGCTTTCAATATTTTGTCCTTATCTTTGGTTTCAGCATTTTTACTATGATGTGTTTAGCTGCGAATCTTCTGTGTTTATCCTACATGGAGTTTGTTGAGCTTCCTGGATGTGTAGATGAATGTTTTTCAATAATATGAGAATTTTTCAGCCATTATTTTTTCAAACTTTTTTTCTGCTTATTTCTCTTGCCTTTCCGTGTGGTACTTGCATTGTGCATATGTTGGTACAGTTATTGGTATTCCAGCTTTCTCTGAGATGCTTTTCACTTTCTTCGTTCTTCTTTGTCTCCATTTTCAGATTCAGACTTATCCATCTATCTCTGTGTTTGCTAATTTTTCTTCTGCATATTTAAATATACTCTTGAGCTCCTCCAGTAAAATTTTAGTAATTTGAGAATTTTTCAGCCATTATTATTATTATTTTTTTTTTGAGATGGAGTCTCGCTCTGTCACCCAGCCTGGAGTGCAGTGGCATGATCTTGGCTCACTGCAAGCTCTGCCTCCCAAGTTCACGCCATTCTCCTGCCTCAGCCTCCCAAGTAGCTGGGACTACAGGCACCCTCCACCACACCCAGCTAATTTTTTGTATTTTTTAGTAGAGATGGGGTTTCACCGTGTTGGCCAGGATGTTCTCGATCTCCTGACCTTGTGATCCGCCTGCCTCGGCCTCCCAAAGTGCTGGGATTACAGGCATGAGCCACTGTGCCCAGCCTCAGCCATTATTTTTTCAAACTTTTTTTCTGCTTATTTCTCTTGCTCAGGAATATTTTTATGCTCAGTTGACAGATTGGCTGGGTATAGAATTCTAGGTGCAAAATAATTTTTCTTAGAATTTTAAAGGGATTGCCTCATTATATTCTAGTGTCCATGTTTCTAATAAGAAATCTTATACCAGTCTGACTCTTGTTATTTTAAAGGTATTGTTTCTCAAAGTATTTAAGATTTTTCTTTTTGTACTTTTGAATTTTGAAATTTCATGATGCTGGGTCAAGGTGTGTTCAGGTTTCTTCATTCACCCTCTGTTTTTATGTTGAATGATTAGCTTGTGTTCTTAGCTTTGATTGTAATAGATCAGGGTCCTTTTAGTTTGACTTTAAAGTTTCCATGTAAGACTTGAAAAAAATATGCCTGCCTATATTGCACGGGGCTGAAAAAGTCAAGGTTGGCAGATGATACGTTTTTAGTTGGTGGACGGGTTCCTACAGATTTTAGGAGTCACAGCTTCTCTAAGATAATGGTCGTCAACTTTGTGTACGTTAGAATCATCAGTGAGTTTTAGAAAACCAGTGCCTGAGTCTCACCCTAAGATATTCTCATGTAATTGGTCTGGGGTGCAGCGTGGGCATTGGGATTTTAAAAGCTTTCCAGAAGATTCTGAGACACATCCAGGATCAGGAGCCACTACTTTAGAATGTGCTCAGGAATGGGTGGCATCACCCCACTTTCTAGTGGACTTGGTCCTTAGGGAGTCTTACAGCTACAACGTATTTCAAGGGCAAGCGGCTGAGGGTTTACGGTCCCTCTGGAATGTCCCCGTGTGAGAGCCTGGGGAGTTAAGTCCTCTGTTGGGTCCTGTTCAGATCTGTGAGACTCACAAAATCACAGGCTCACCTGCGGGGTGTCTCAGTGGACAGGAGCAGCTCCCGGCCCCAGCTCTTCTCCTGCAGTGCCTTGGGGCTCAGAAGACGCAGGAGTAAAGTAGACTTGGGTGTGGGGCCAGGCTGGTGGGGTCGGCTCCACAGCCACCTCGCTCTGCCTCCGTTTCCTTATTTGTGAACAGGTCGTGGTAGTCAGCACCCATCTTGGAGTGCTGTGAGGTGTGAAATGAGCTAATCTGCAGTGTGTCTAGAACAGGGGTGGGCGGCGGGCGCCCAGCAGCGTGTCTAGAACAGGGGCGGGCGGCGGGCGCCCAGCAGCGTGTCTAGAATGGGGGCGGGCGGCGGGCCCTCAGCAGTGTGTCAAAAAGCCAGAGGCATAAACAGGTGCAGAGAGGAAATGCACCTGGGGAGGTGAGTGCCTGTTCTGCCCTGGGATGGACGGTGGGCGGCGGGCACTCAGGAGGTGTTGGCAGCTGTCTGTCATCATCATTGCTGTCATCATCATCGTCTTGTGTATTTGGAAGATGTTTTTTCCCAAGTTATATCTTGTTTTCATTATCTTTTTTTTTTTTTTTTTGAAACGGAGTCTCACTCTGTCGCCCAGGCTGGAGTGCGGTGGCGCGATCTCGGCTCACTGCAAGCTCCACCTCCCAGGTTCTCGCCATTCTCCTGCCTCAGCCTCCCAAGTAGCTGGGACTACAGGAGCCTGCCACCACGCCCGGCTAATTTTTTTGTAGTTTTAGTAGAGATGGGGTTTCACCGTGTTAGCCAGGATGGTCTCGATCTCCTGACCTCCTGATCCGCCTGCCTTGGCCTCCCACAGTGCTGGGATTACAGGTGTGAAACACTGCGCCCGGCCTAATATTCTTTTAAGTTAAAGAATATTAGAGAGAGTTTTGCATCTTTTATAGTTGGATGAAAACAAATTTAAAGTATTTTGGTGACTGTTGTGACACTCCTTGTCTAAAAACATTCATCTATTTTGAAAACATTTTGCTTTTCATAAAGTACTTTTTATAGATTAGCTCTAACTTGAGGCATATCCCATTTGTATGAATTCTGCCAATAATAAAAACAATCCGTTGTAAAGTTCTGAAGGACCGAGGTGAAGGGCTGAAATGAGCCGTCCTGCTGCCTGTCTGAAGTGTGGGTAAGGAGACCTCGTGGGGACCCTATTCTACACTTTAATAAAATATGGTTGGTTTGGTTATAGCTGAAAGGGACGTATTTTCCTGTAATGATATTTTTTCTTGAATAGGGAGAGTTATATTGACTATTAGATAACATAGATCCAAAGTGTCTCTTTTCAGAAGTGCTGGGTATTTGAAATGGGCTGATTCACTTATTACGATTCATGCACTAACGGAGCCCCACTTTCCTAATAACGTCGCCGCTTGCTAAAACCAAAATGAAGTACAATCCCCACTCTTCTCTCCAGGAGGAAGGAATGTTAATATCTCGCCGCCGTGTGAGTTTTTCCTGCTGAGACCATGGCAACCAGATCCCCTCACAAAGGGACTGGCCTCCCCAAGCAGGAGCCCCACGCAAACATTTGACTTTCTTCAAGGCAATAATATTAAAGCAAATTCCTTGTCTCTGCCAAACACAGGATTCATTGTGAGAAACTTCCAGCTTCCTTAGTGAGATAAGTCTTCCTTCGTTACCCGGGCTCACGGATACCCTTCTCTCCTGAAACCTGACGCTAACAAGCCGCATTGTGAGCAGAGCCCCTGTTGAACAGTGTGCCTTGTGGAAGGCCCCTTCCGGCCCTTCGTCCTCACAGGTGCCTCCGCCTGTGTTTCTCGTGAGGAGCTTCAGGGCACTCACCTGGCCCTGCAGCGATGATGGAGGCTTGGCTGCAGCGGCCCTGGAGACACGGCCCACCATCCATCCCAGGGCAGAACAGGCGCTCGCCTCCCCGGGTGCATTTCCTCCCTGCGCCTGTTTATGCCCCTGGCTTTTTGACATCTGGGATCCTCTGGCTAACTGGGTTGAGCTGGCTAAACTTTAGGGATTAATGCTAGAAATTAAACTGCTACCTGGTATGAAGAGGGGCACTGCTCCGGGTTGGAGAACGCAGAGAGGGTGGGAGACTCTGTGCGTCTCGCTTCTGTGCGGCTGTGCGGTCCCAGTGGTGCCGTGAGCTTGCTCGATGCCCCCCCGGAACAGGGCAGCCCCCGTGGGGTGGGAGCCCTGCCTTCCCCTCCTTGTAGTGGAGACGGGAGAGTGCCACGGGTGTGGCCGAAATGCACACTTGGCCACTGTCCCTCCAACAGACAACTTTCTGCAGCTTGTCTTGATTTGGATACCAGAGAGATCTATTGCTTAATTCTGCACACGTCTGTTTTGCTTTGTATGACTTTCCTGGGTGCCATGATGTCTGTAACTGTCCGGTGTTGCCAGCCTCTTTTCTAGGGAAAGTGGGTATCCTGCCCCTTGGAGCCTCCTCAGCACCCTCATTTTGGGCTAAATGCCACCTCTGATCCACCCGCCATTGGCATCGAAGCTGAGCTTGCCACGCATGAATTTCTGCTTGTTACTCCTTGTTCAGAAGCCTTCCTTGGCTACCCCTGCTGGCAGGGGGAAGTTGAGCCTTCTTAGCCCAACATGCAGTTCCCACAAAGCTGCCCAGTGCCTGCTTTCCCAAACATAGGCTGCCCCAGATAATGAGGGCTGCCCAGACTGCCCACCGCCCACAGGGCAGCACCCAGGACGGTGGTCTGCCCTGGGCTGCCTTGCTTCTGCTGGTTCACGTTCTTAACAGCCTCAGGCTCTTGCCACAGCTCCCTAACAGGGACCCTTTAGGCCTCCCTATCCCCGTTTTCAGTCCCGTTCCTTTGGCGTTTAACCACAGGTCATCGTTCAGCCTTTTCCAGCTCAGTTGTGATGTCTTTGAAGACAGAGATTTTTTGAAACTCCTCTTAAAATATGATATCCATACAGAAAAGTGCACATCACAGTCTTACTGCTGGATGAAGGTTCGCAAGCTGCACACACCATGTAACCGGCACCCTGAGGAAGAACAGAAGATCGCAGCCCCCAGAAGCCCCCTCAGGCCCCTCTGGTCACCCCCTTCCCCAAGGGCAGCTGCTTTCCTAGTTTCTCACAGCACAGAAGAATTTCGGCTGCCCTCGTGCTCCGGGCCAGGGCCCCCACCCAGCAGCTGCTCCCTTCTCTGCTTAGCAGCCTGGGAGAGGCACCCACGCTGTGTGTACAGCCCTGGAGGGTGCCTTCTTGTCATGTATGTTTCCAGCTTTTCCGTTCTGCACTTGGGTAGTTCCCAGTTTTGAGCTCTGATGACAGTGCTGCTCTTGGTGGCCATGCAGATTAAGTTCTGCTGGGTTTACGCCGCACAGTATCTGTTAGGATCAGAGCTGGGTCATGGGATGTGCACCCACTCTGGTGTTGTAGATGCTGGCAGCACATTCAGCTCATCACAGAGATGCACGCCAAGAGGATCACCCACCACGCGTCCAGCCCAGTGACCTCCACCAGCCCATCACACACGTGCAAACCGCCCTCCGAGGGTCTACCTCAGTGACCTCCACCAGCTCATCACACACGTGCAAACCGCCCTCCGAGGGTCTACCTCAGTGACCTCCACCAGCCCGTCACACATGTGCCAGCCCCCAACTTCCCTCTTGTGACCGGATCCTGACTTTCATCAGGGTAGACTTTACAGACTTCCTTCCAGGGATATTTTAATTTTGTTTAAAAAAATATTCCCAGGACTTAGCTTAGTGCTGTACTCAGTAAAGGTCCATCTCATTTTTTTTTCCTTCAGTGAGTGTCAGACTTTAATGAAGTACCCAGTGGACTCTGTGTTTTATCCTTGTTCTCATTATGCCACCTACCAAAGGTGGAATATTGTCTCTCTCTGACTTTCCTTTCATTCCTTTGAAAGCTGACCCACATTTTTGGTGGCAGTGCAAAATGTTCCTAGCTTTCTTATAGAACATCGTATATTGGGCGTGTGCGGTGGCTCACATCTGTAATCCCAGCACTTTGGGAGGCCGAGGTGGGCAGATCACCTGAAGTTGGGAGTTCGAGACCAGCCTGACCAACATGGAGAAACCCCCAAATACAAAATTCGCCAGGCGTGGTGGCAGGTGCCTGTAATCCCAGCTACTCAGGAGGCTGAGGCAGGAGAATCGCTTGGACCCAGGAGGCGGAGGTTGCAGTGAGCCAAAATCACGCCACTGCACTCCAGCCTGGGCAACAAGAGGGAAACTCCACCTCGAAAAAAAAAAAAGAATATCATATACTAAGCTCTATGAAAGAGAATGCTGCTGGAAACTGAATTATAAAAGAGTTTTGCTCTTCTTTTTTCCACAGTCGGATACGCTAAAAATCAAGCAGTTGCCCAGAGCTCAGGGTCGTACCTTTGCTTTTTGGATTCGGTAAGTAACTTTCTTTTGTTTATAATGTATAAATGTGTACATGTTGGTTGAATAATTAAATGATCTTACATTTTAGTGCGGTTCTTGAAAATCATTTTTCTAATGGTTATTAGACTAATAATGTGTTAGTCCGTTTTCATGCTGCTGATGAGGACATAGCCAAGACTGGGTAATTTATAAAGAAAAAGAAGTTTAATAGACTCACAGTTCCATGTGTCCGGGCAGGTCTCACAGTCGCGCATGTCTGACGGGGCGGCCGATGAGAGAGGCAGCTTGTGCAGGGAAACTCCTCCCTTGAAGTCCATCAGCTCTCCTGAGACTCACCCACTATCACTAGAACAGAAAGGCCCGCCCCCGTGATTCAGTGGCCTCCCACCAGGGCCCTCCCACGACACGTGGGAATTGTGGGAGCTACAGTTCAAGATGAGATTTGGGTGGGGACACAGCCCAACCTTATCAAATAGTTATTAATTCAAGATGAGATTTGGGTGGGGACACAGCCCAACCTTATCCGTTATTAATTCAAGATGAGATTTGGGTGGGGACACAGCCCAACCTTATCAAATAGTTATTAGACAACCTTAAAAATTAAGGTCAATAGGTTGTTGCTGTTTAATTGCTGTAGCACTTAATGAGTTAATCACGGTAAGTAAGATATATAAAAATGTAAAATTGCACAGCAGAGAGCGATGTGAGCAAAATGAAGATAAACTGGGATGAAATCGGAAAATATGGTACTTAAAAGATGAATAACCTTACTGATTTCTAAAGGTTGATAAGAAAACACTAAGAAAAGGCTGGGCGCGGTGGCTCACGCCTGTAATCCCAGCACTTTGGGAGGCCGAGGCAGATGGATCACCTGAGGTCAGGAGTTTGAGACCAGCCTGGCCAACATGGCAAAACCCTGTCTCTACTAAAAATACGAAATTAGCCAGGCGTGGTGGTGTGCGCCTGTAATCCCAGCTACTTGGGAGACTGAGGCAGGAGAATCGCTTGAACCCAGGAGGCGAAGGTTGCAGTGAGCCGAGATTGCGCCATTGCACTCCAGCCTGGGAGACAGAGTGAGACTCTGTCTCAAAAAACAAACAAACAAAACACTAAGAAAAATAGATAAGTAGGCAGAGGACAGAAGCAGACTCTCAGAGTGGATGTACAAACAACTAATAAACTTTCTAAGAATTTAAGTCATTTGTATTCAAACACAGATTAGTGAGATTCTTTTAAAAACTGAATTAATAACACTTTTAAAAATGTAGATAACTTAGGCCGGGCGCGGTGGCTCACGCCTGTAATCCCAGCACTTTGGGAGGCCGAGGCGGGCGGATCACGAGGTCAGGAGATTGAGACCATCCTGGCTAACACGGTGAAACCCCGTCTCTACTAAAAATACAAAAAATTAGCTGGGCGTGGTGGTGGGCGCCTGTAGTCCCAGCTACTTGGGAGGCTGAGGCAGGAGAATGGCGTGAACCCGGGAGGCGGAGCTTGCAGTGAGCCGAGATCGCGCCACTGCACTCCAGCCTGGGCGACAGAGCGGGACTCCGTCTCAAAAAAAAAAAAAAGCATATAACTTAGTATTTTGGACAGTCTAAGTTGATGCCATCTTGATAGTGTAACTTTGCATTTTCTATCAAGAGCCTGAAGAGTGTCCTTCACTCCTCAGCTTCCTTCTTGGCATCTCTGAGAACGATTTGGATACAAAGAAGCTTCAGGTTGTTGACTGTGATGGAAAACAGAAACGTTAACATGGGACGGGAGGGTCACGGTGGAGAAGTTTCCGGCAGGTCTCCATGAGGGAGTCACTGTGATGTTTATAAAGACTTTTCAATAGCAGGACAAATGACTGAATAACAGGTAGTCGCTTGTATAGTCTACACTCAACTATAGATATTTAAAAATTACTTTAAAATAAACTTCAGGAACATTTATCTGTATCTGTCCCTCCTCTGTGGCCAGGTTCCGGGGCTTCTGTGCATTCCTGGGGTGCCGCTCAGCGTCTCCAGGCCGCTCTGGCCCAGAGCTCCTGCCTACGCGGGGATTTACGCGGGAGCCGCCCGTTCCTCTCCTCCTGACCCAGCTCTTTTCCTTGATCACCAGAAGCCTCTGCACATGCTCCTGGTACATGTAGAAGTTTGGGAGAGGCGTGCCCGTGTGCAGACGGGGTAAAACTGCATATTTATCGGCCCAGCTCGGGAAGGCGGAACCCCCAGGGCGGCACCAGCTGCTATGACTCCTGTCCTGGTGCCTGGGTCTCTTTCTTCTCTTTTCTTCTTAGACCAAAACACCTCAGATTTCTCCCGTTTTCTTACACAGAACCTTCAGCCCTCTCTCCTGACCCTTCCTTGGGCTCATGTTTTCATGCTCAGATGGTCCATCCAATGTTTTCCTCACTAAGACAGCATCCACCAAGGACAGCTCAACCCACCACATGGAAAATGGTGCTTTTTATTGTCTTTGGGTGACAGGATTAGGGTGTGCTGGGCCCCTGAGCTCAGTCTGGGTCGGAGGCCTGGCCTGGTCTGACCCGTTGTTCAGCTCCCGAGCTCGGTCTGGGTCGGAGGCCTGGCCTGGTCTGACCTGGTTGTTCAGCTCCCGAGCTCGGTCTGGGTCGGAGGCCTGGCCTGGTCTGACCGGTTGTTCAGCTCCCGAGTTCGGTCTGCGTCGGAGGCCTGGCCTGGTCTGACCCGTTGTTCAGCTCCCGAGTTCGGTCTGCGTCGGAGGCCTGGCCTGGTCTGACCTGGTTGTTCAGCTCCCGAGTTCGGTCTGCGTCGGAGGCCTGGCCTGGTCTGACCCGTTGTTCAGCTCCCGAGTTCGGTCTGCGTCAGAGGCCTGGCCTGGTCTGACCTGTTGTTCAGCTCCCGAGCTCGGTCTGGGTCAGAGGCCTGGCCTGGTCTGACCTGGTTGTTCAGCTCCCGAGTTCGGTCTGCGTCAGAGGCCTGGCCTGGTCTGACCCGGTTGTTCAGCTTCTGTGCCTGGCTTAGGAGCAGGTCTGCAGATGTTGTGAGGCTGGGCCTGTGGGCACCTTCCCGGGTGCTGGCTGCTCTGTGGAGTTGATGAGGACGAGAGTGAACATCCTCGAAGGACGTTGGGGTTTTGCCCGGCTGACCAGTGTGAACGTCACCTGAAACTCACTCTGGATCCAGTATGTGCAGAGGGCGTTACAGTCGAACAGATTCGGTTCCTGACCTCTAGGGTTGGCAACTGAGGACGGTTTAAACAGATCTTCACCTTTTGCTCATGAAGCATCTCCATCCTCCCTGGGACCCACCCCACACCTGCTGCAGTCAGAGTGGAGCCTCCCTGCACACCGTTCTCGTCACGTGACACCTGCCTAGACGGCTTGTCCTCGAGCCTATTAGGTGGCCTCAGGTGTCCTTGGAAAGGCTGTGGAAGGCCTCCCCCGTGACTGTCCCATGGCCAGGTTCCTAAGGGGCAGAGGGGTGAGTCCTCGCAGAGCCCTGTCTAAACGTGGCGCCGGTCCTGCGAGGGACCCGTGGGTGCTCGGGCGGCCGTCGCTGAGTTTACACCCTTCCCCGCTGGAAAACATGACTCTGGTCCTGCGAGGGACCCGTGGGTGCTCGGGCAGCCGTCGCTGAGTTTACACCCTTCCCCGCTGGAAAACGTGACTCTGGTCCTGCGAGGGACCCGTGGGTGCTTGGGCGGCCGTCGCTGAGTTTACACCCTTCCCCGCTGGAAAACGTGACTCTGGTCCTGCGAGGGACCCGTGGGTGCTCTGGCGGCCGTCGCTGAGTTTACACCCTTCCCCGCTGGAAAACGTGACTCTGGTCCTGCGAGGTACCCGTGGGTGCTCTGGCGGCCGTTGCTGAGTTTACACCCTTCCCCGCTGGAAAACGTGACTCTGGTCCTGCGAGGGACCCGTGGGTGCTCTGGCGGCCGTCGCTGAGTTTACACCCTTCCCTGCCGGCCTCTGATGGATCAGTGCCTGACGCGGCGTTTCCTCCTGGCACACACTGCTGTGTTCTCGTCTCGGTTGTCTGTGTTCTTGGAAACTTTAGTAGAATAAAACAAAGTAAACAAGAAGCCTGGCTTTTAAAGAAAATAGCCTCTAAATAGCTCATTCATTATAATGATTTGGGTTCCAGTCCTCTTAGAGATGTTCAAACATAATGTCTATGAAAACATCTGCAGAGCGGCTTCACCCAGGAGGTCTGGTGGTTGTGAGAGCGCTGCTTACTTCTGAGCCAACCAGGTTTTCTTTTCCCTTCGCCCTTCAGGGTTCCCAGGGTGGAGAGCCTCTGCCACCCTCCTGTCCCCCGACTCCCGTCTTCACTGGGGAACCGGCCGCATGGCTGTCCACGTGCACAGGAAGCCACATGGCCTTCCCGGAACCGCCCCGAGGCCTCTGAACTGGGGCCTCAGGTGAGAGGAGAGGGGCCCATGTGGCTGGGATGAGAAGGGCCAAGGCGGGGCGGGCGCTGCAGACGGGGACGGCCCAAAGGCTCTGCATCCATTCGGCCGGCTCTACAGCATTGTCGAGTCATCGCCGGGGCTGTGGGGAGGGTTACAGACAAGCCTGGCCGTTCTCATCCTCACTGCCGATCCTTGAACCGAGGGGACAGGGATGTGGCTGTAGCCGTGCCCCAGACCCCGAGCAGCAGTGCCGTCTAGAACCCTCACAAGCCGGCAGGTGCTCTGAGCACAGCCTGCAGCGCCCAAGGCCTGTCCCGTGTCAGAGGCTGTTCTCCTTTCCACCTCTACAGCTGCCCTTTGCCTCCTTCTCCGCTAATCCCTTTATTTCTTTACTTTCCCACCTGTGGTTTTGCTTCTGCTTTATTCGCGCTCATTCTGCAGTTGTGTTCCTGACCCTTGAGCTGGGCCCTCCTCTCCAGGCTTTTGTTTCTAACATAAGATTTTCCTCTCATGGAGAACTTAGTACTGTAGGGGTGTCCGTAAGGTTTGAATATAAAACCCTAGTTATTATTCAGTTGTGTTTCCTAACTTCCACTATGATTTCTTTTTCTTCTTTTTAAATTTAGATCTTAGGATCTCAGGAGCCCAGAATCAAATTAATCACGACCCTTGGTTCAGGACACATTCTCCTCATTTGTTCACGCGTGGCCCGTTTTACTTGTCTCTGTGATTATAACTGTACCTGTTTTCGTGGGTAGCGACTAACTGAGGCCAGTGGTGCAGGTGGTAAAGGAATTTACCAAGACAGTTGTAGGTCAAGAAAGGCAGATTTATTCGAGAAAGCAGGAAGATAGGTTGCAAGAAAGCAACGGGCGCGTCAGCAAGAGAGAAGCTGACTGGCAGGAGACAGAGCCTTGCCGGGGGTTTTAAAGGTGGTGCTTGCGCTGGAGAGGGCCACGAGCGGTGCTGGTAACGCCAGGGTTGCAGGGAGCTAAGTTGCATTTTCCTCTCAGCCGAGGATCTGGTGATAAGTTGGGTGGAGGAGGATTGTGAGTTAGGTGAGTTATTCGTGCAGACGCGCTGTGTCCTGAACCATGAGGAAAGGCAGACATAGCCAATCTGCGAATTCTTTTTGCTTCCCCGGCTCCCCCCAGCCTGACTTCTCTTCCCTAATTAGGACTCCACACCTGTATTTTTTGTTTTCATCGTGTGACAAACACCCATGGACCTGCCACCTGACACAAGAGCCAGCTCGGTCCTCTCACGTCTCACAGGTGACCACGATGCTTATCCCCTGCCTCCTTCCGCCTGGGTAACCGTCAGCCCAAATTCCGCGCTCATCATCCCTTGCTGTCCTTTTAAAATAACTATCTGGTATCTATACAAATCTGAAAAAAAAAATTTAACTTCAGTTCTTTTTAACTTTATAAAGTGGGTACCACTGTAGTATTCTGGAACTTTTAAACCTTATAATTGTTAAGGTCCATCCGCGTTGTTGCATCTCATTATAGTTTATTCAGGTTTGGAGAATTGAGGTAGAATTTACATGCAGTGAAGTGCAGGATTTCCGTGTGAAATTTGTGTACAACATGGATAATGTGTGTTTTGACAGCTCACACGCCTGTGTAACTCACACCCCAGTCAAGGTGCAGAGACTTCTGTCCCTCGGAACGGCCTGCATGCTCCCGGCTCCGGTCCCCACGGCAGCCACTGCCCTGACTTGGAGCCCCAGGGCTTCTGTTGCCAGCTCTTGAATTTCATGCGTACGTGAAACCGCACGCTGTGCCCTCGTGTTTCTCTTTCCACTCAGCCGGATGGTCATGCGTTACAGCTTGTGTATTGGTGGCTGTGTATTGGTGGCTCCTTACTGTTTGCTCATCCTTCTGTGACTGCACCGAGATTGTTTCGATGCTGTAGTTTCCAGTTCGGGTTACTAGAATAAAGACGCCATTAACATTCTTGTCTGTCTTTCTGTGGATGTACCTTGGGAAGTACCTAGGGGTGGAATTGGCACATCAGAGGGAAAGGTGTTTTTACCTTAAAGGAACCTGCTGAACAGTTTTCCGGCGTTCGTACTGTTCTGCCTTCCCGTCAGCAGAGTGTGGGCTCTGCGGCGTTGATGCTGTCGGCCTTAATTTTCATGATTCTAGTAGCTCTGATGTGTGTCTCACTGTGGTTTGACATTTTCCTGATGGCTGGTGATGGTGAGCACCTTTTCTTTTTTTTTCTTTTTTTTTTTTTTTTGAGACGGAGTCTCGCTGTCGCCCAGGCTGGAGTGCAGTGGCGCAATCTCGGCTCACTGCAGGCTCCGCCCCCTGGAGTTCACGCCATTCTCCTGCCTCAGCCTCCCGAGTAGCTGGGACTACAGGCGCCCGCCACCTCGCCCGGCTAATTTTTTGTATTTTTAGTAGAGACGGGGTTTCACCGTGTTAGCCAGGATGGTCTCGATCTCCTGACCTCGTGATCCGCCCGCCTCGGCCTCCCAAAGTGCTGGGATTACAGGCGTGAGCCACCGCGCCCTGCCTGGTGAGCACCTTTTCGTGGGTTTATTGGCCATTCATAAATCTTCTTTCATGAAATGCCCATATCTCACCTCTTACCTTTTATCCCCGGCTGCCGTGGGACCAGAGCCGGGAGCGTGCAGGTCGTTCTGAGGGAGATGAAGTTTTACTCTGTCGCTCAGGCTGGAGTGCAGTGGTGCGATCTTGGCTCACTGCAACCACCGCCTCCCAGGTTCAAGCAATCCTGCCTCAGCCTCCTGAGTAGCTGGGACTACAGGTGCATACCACCACACCTGGCTAATTTTTTGTATTTTAGTAGAGATGGGGTTTCCCCATGTTGCCAAGGCTGGTCTTGAACTCCTGAGCTCAGGTGGTCTGCTCACCTCGACCTCCCAGAGTGCTAGGATTACAGGCGTGAGCCACCACACCTGGCCTGTTTATCTTACTATTAATGAGTTACAGAGTTTTGTGACATATTCTAGATACAAGTCCTTTGTCAGGTATATAGATTGTGGATATTTTTTCCCTGTAAGTGGCTTGCTTTTTTTTTTTTTTTTTTTTTTTTTTGAGAGCGTCTCACTTTGTCACCCAGGCTGGAGTGTGGTGGCCCAATCTCGACTCACTGTAGCCTCAGCCTCCCAGGCACAAGCAATCCTCCTGTCTCAGCCTCTCAAAGCATGGAGATTACAGGCATGATCCACCGTGCCCGGCCCCTCTTCATATTTTAATGGTGTCTTGAGCAGAAGATGTTAACATCAGTGAAGTCCAACTTATTTACTGTTTTCTAGTTAAATTTTTTCCTAATAAACTTTTGCTCAACCCGAAGGAGAAGTTGTGTTTTTCTGGTAGCTTCTAGTTTTGACTGTCCTATCGGCGTCTCTTGTCCATCTCTAGTTAATTTCCGTATGTGGCATGAAGTAAATATCAAGGTTAGTTTTTTTCATGTGAATATTCAGTCCCAGCACCATTTATTGAAGAGCTTTCTTTTCTCCATGGAATTGTGCTGATGCCTTTGTTGAAAATCACTTGGCGGTGTGAGGGTAGCTTTGTCTGCAGGCTCCCTGCCCTGCTCTGTGTCTGTCAAGGGTGGGTTTGTCTGCAGGCTCCCTGCCCCCCTCCGTGTGTCTGTCCAGGGTGGGTTTGCCTGCAGGCTCCCCGCCCTGCTCTGTGTGTCTGTCGAGGGTGGGTTTGCCTGCAGGCTCCCCGCCCTGCTCTGCGTGTCTGTCGAGGGTGGGTTTGTCTGCAGGCTCCCTGCCCCGCTCTGTGTGTCTGTCGAGGGTGGGTTTGTCTGCAGGCTCCCTGCCCCGCTCTGTGTGTCTGTCGAGGGTGGGTTTGTCTGCAGGCTCCCTGCCCTCCTCTGTGTGTCTGTTGAGGGTGGGTTTGTCTGCAGGCTTCCTGCCCCGCTCTGTGTGTCTGTCGAGGGTGGGTTTGTCTGCAGGCTTCCTGCCCTGCTCTGCGTGTCTGTCGAGGGTGGGTTTGTCTGCAGGCTCCCTGCCCTCCTCTGTGTGTCTGTCGAGTGTGGGTTTGTCTGCAGGCTCCCTGCCCTGCTCTGTGTGTCTGTCGAGGGTGGGTTTGTCTGCAGGCTCCCGTCCCGCTCTGTGTGTCTGTCAAGGGTGGGTTTGTCTGCAGGCTCCCGCCCCGCTCTGTGTGTCTGTCGAGGGTGGGTTTGTCTGCAGGCTCCCGTCCCGCTCTGTGTGTCTGTCGAGGGTGGGTTTGTCTGCAGGCTCCTGCCCCGCTCTGTGTGTCTGTCGAGGGTGGGTTTGTCTGCAGGCTCCTGCCCCGCTCTGTGTGTCTGTCGAGGGTGGGTTTGTATGCAGGCTCCCTGCCCTCCTCTGTGTATCGGTCGATGGTGGGTTTGTCTGCAGGCTCCCTTTCCTCCTCTGTGTATCGGTCGATGGTGGGTTTGTCTGCAGGCTCCCTGCCCTGCTCTGTGTATCTGTGAAGGGTGGGTTTGTCTGTGGGCTCCCCACTCCGCTCTGTGTGTCTGTTGAGGGTGGGTTTGTCTGCAGGCTCCCTGCCCCGCTCTGTGTATCTGTCCTCTGCGGTTTGTTTGGTTTCTCTGCTGTACAGCATTCTGCTGAGCAAACCTGCCGTGTACATCCGTCTTTCCTCCTGTGGACAGGCTTTTGGGCTGCCACCAGGTTTTTGCTTTGAGGAATGGTGCTGCTGTGGCCTGTCCACACACCTCTGGCTGTGCATGTGGGTTCCTCTTAGCTTTGTACCTGGAAGTGGAATTGCCAGCTCCCAGGGCACGGAAGAGTGATGCCTGCGAACACCCACGCTCTCGCTGGTTCTCCAGCACTTAGAATTCCGGGGGGTTCACTTTTGCTGGCTGAGCAGGAGCAAAGGGGGCCTCTCTGTGCCTGGATTTGCACTTCCTGGTCACGGGTTATGGTGAGCGTCGTCTTCTGTTCTTGGCCATGTGGGTTTTCTTTTCTGTGAAAAGTGTTTACATCTTTTTGCTCATTTCTCTTTCCCCTTTGAAACCATCAGAACTCACAGAAAGTTTCAAGGATACTGCAAAGAACTTTTTGTTCTCCCTGAGCCATTGGCTTAGGCCACCAGCATCGTGCATGTCACCCCGAGTACGTGTGTGTACGTCCTGCAAAGAACATTCTCCTGCAGCCCACGGCCTCCCGTCACGACAGGGATGTACTCACCCGGACACGACTGGCACCCGGTGCCGGGCCAGGCTGTCCCAGTGGTGCCGTCGGAGAAACCCCTGCTCAGAATCGCGCTGCATTTAGTTACTGTGTCTCTGTGATCTCCTCCACCTGGAATACCCTCAGCCCCGCCTTGACTCTGCTCTTCTTACGTGTGTGTGGACTCTCCGCGGTGTCCGTGTGTGGACTCTCCGCGGTGTCCGTGTGTGTGTGGACTTCACAGTTTCTATGTGTGTGTGGACTCTCCGCGGTGTCTGTGTGTGTGTGGACTTCACAGTTTCTATGTGTGTGTGGACTCCATGGTTTCTGTTTTATTTGAGTTATCATTAGTTACTGTCACTTACTGTGATGTTCACACTGTCTGTGATTTGGCCAGCGAGGGACCTTTCAGACTGGCTTCCATGCCCTTTGACTAGGTCCCACGACCTTGGGGGACGTCTTGCTCCTGAAACGAGGACTGCGGTCTTGCAGCTGCCGGCTGCTTTGATCCTGGCCAGCAGTAGCCGTTTGCTGCCCTCTGTGCCGGCCGATGTGTCTGGCAGGAGTTGGAGCGCTTTGCACCCCTGAGCAGCACGGCCCAGGCCCCGTGGCCACAGCGTTCTGGTCACTCCTCAGCATCACAGCGTCTGCCTGTCCGGCTGCAGAAGGTGACCAGGGCATGCCGATGTTGCGGGCATCGTGACCCTCAGGCCCCTTACCCAGGCCTGACCCACACCAGGAACCCGCAGCTTCCGCAGTCTCAGCCCCGGGGGCGTGTTAACACGCGTGGATTCACCCCTGGGCCAGAGTCCTCTTCTCCTGGTGGGGTTGGGGCCCTGCACAGTTGCCAGCTTTTCCCTCCGCACAGAGAGCCCGGTCTCTACACAGGACACAGATGTTTATCCCTCAACAGCTGAGGCCCCGCACGCAACCCACCTCACTTGGAGACTGGAGGCGGATGAGCGAGGGCTCTGCTGGCCACGTCCGCGCCTGTCTTGTGCGTGGTCTCGCGAACTCCGTCTGAACCGCCGTGTGGTCTTGGAGGTGACTTGATTTCCGGTTCAAGAAACTATTCAGGAAACCGTGGAGCAGCACCTCTAGGAGGGAGTCGATGCTGAATTCAGAAGCAGGGCCTGCCCGCCTGGAGGACCCCGGGCGGAGGCTGCCGCTGAGCTGGCCAGGAGCTGTGGCCGGGACCACCTGAGGCCTGCGCTGGGGGCTCTTCTGCAGACGACCAGGAGGGCTGCTCTGCTGCCTGAGTACATCAGGGACTCTGCCTCCAGGAGTGGACGCCTGGAACCTCTTGTGCGTTCACCCCTGTTTAGCCTTTAGGTCCAACAGGAAATGTGGGGACACAGGACCTCGTATCAGGCGAGTCCTCCCCACACTGTACCCTCTGGCATCTCCGGTGTTAGAGACACACGGTCCGGTGTTTGCTCTGGCGAGGTAGAAGGAACCAGCGCAGAATCCACAGGGGAGGAAGCACTTTTAAATTGCTAATTTGCAGAAAATCGAGAAAGGCAACTTCAACCTCCTTTGTGATGACACATTTTGTCCCACCGTGTCCCACTGCTAGTGAGTGTTACAGAAGCATCGGCCCATCTAACCCATGAAGGTTGGGTTTCCACTTTCCCTTCCAGCTCTTCCCTGCAGCTGCTGGAGGTCGGGAGACGTGGGGGTGGAAGGAAGGAGATCTGGCGCCTCCCCAGCATGCGTTTAACAGAAAGGGGACACGAGGCCACGTGCTTTGTCTTGGGTGGTTTTGAGACCAAAGCGTTTCACCACAGAGCATGGTGGTGACCAAGAGATTCCTGAATCATGCTATTTTCCCTTTATTTAGAATGGTACACTGGTCAGTAACTGATTAAATGCAGGTGTTGCTAGCTGAGTGAGGAAGTGTGTTTTTCCTCATCTCTTTATCACGTGCCACCTGACTTCTATATTTGACTTGTCGGCTTTAGCCTGGAATTATTTAGAAAAGAATGTTGGTGTCAGCTGTATAGAATCTGCTGCAACTTTAGAAAACAGCGGAGAGGAGCCAATGTGAGTTCACGCTGGTGTAGGTGGGCCGGGGACAGTGCTAAGCTCATGTGAGTTCACGCTGGTGCAGGTGGGGCGGGGACAGTGCTAAGCTCATGTGAGTTCACGCTGGTGCAGGTGGGGCGGGGACAGTGCTAAGCTCATGTGAGTTCACGCTGGTGCAGGTGGGCCGGGGACAGTGCTAAGCTCATGTGAGTTCACGCTGGTGCAGGTGGGGCGGGGACAGTGCTAAGCTAATGTGAGTTCACGCTGGTGCAGGTGGGGCGGGGACAGTGCTAAGCTCATGTGAGTTCACGCTGGTGCAGGTGGGGCGGGGACAGTGCTAAGCTAATGTGAGTTCACGCTGGTGCAGGTGGGGCGGGGACAGTGCTAAGCTCATGTGAGTTCACGCTGGTGCAGGTGGGGCGGGGACAGTGCTAAGCTCATGTGAGTTCACGCTGGTGCAGGTGGGCCGGGGACAGTGTTAAGCTAACGTGAGTTCACGCTGGTGCAGGTGGGCCGGGGACAGTGCTAAGCTAACGTGAGTTCACGCTGGTGCAGGTGGGCCGGGGACAGTGCTAAGCTCATGTGAGTTCACACTGGTGCAGGTGGGGCGGGGACAGTGCTAAGCTCATGTGAGTTCACGCTGGTGCAGGTGGGGCGGGGACAGTGCTAAGCTAATGTGAGTTCACACTGGTGTACGTGGGGCCGTGTCTTTTGATGAACAGAAGTTTTAAATTTTGATAATGACCGTTTTATCACTTAAAGAAAAATAAGATTTGTGCTTTTTGTGTCCCGTCTAAGAACCTAAGAAACCTTTGTCTGCCCCAAAGTTTTCTTCATTTTCTGTTGGATGTCTTCTATTTTTATCTTTTACATTGAGACCTCTGGTTCATTTCAGGTTCATTTTTGAAGATGGTGTATATGGGGGCTGAGGATTCTTTTTCCTGGATGATGTCCGGTTTTTCCAGCATTCCTGTTCTTTCTCTGTGGAATTATCTTGGCACCTTTGTTGAAAATCAGTGGATCCAAAAAAGCGTGGATCTATTTGATCTATTTCTGTGCTCTGTTCTGTTCCACTGATCTTTATATTTCTCTTTATACCAGTTCCACTCTGTCTTGATTACTATTACATGATTATTCTAGCAGCTGCAGTAATAAAGCTACAGTGTAGCTTTATAGTAAGTCTCAAAATCTGGGATTGTAAGTCTTCCAGCTTTGTTCTTCCCGCTCTCAAAATGGTTGTGTTGGTTTTTTTCGTTTTTTCTTTTAGGTCCTTTGAATTCTGCAAAATTTTAGAATGAACTGGTCAAGCCTGCTGATTTTTATTGGGATTACATTGAATCTATAAATCCACTTGAGGATCTTAGTATTGAGTCTTCTAATCCGTAAACATAGTATATCTCTCCATGTGTTTATGCCTTCTTAAATTTCTCTCTGGAATATTTTGTAGTTTTTAGGGTATGGGTCTTCAACATTTAATAAAATATATCTCTAAGTATTTTTGGGTTTCAGTGCTATTGAAAAGTGGTATTAACAATTCATTTCCAAGTTTTATTGCTGCAAATATGCTACATTAGCTTATTCTAGTAGAGTTTTTTTTTGCATATTCTTTACAATTTACTATGAAATGATTATGTCACCTGTGAATAAGGATCCTTTTACCCCTCTCCAATGTCTATTCCAATCTTACTTATTCCGCGTTCTTGGTTCAGTTCATTATACTGACTAGGACCTCCAGTACAGTGTTGAACAGAAGTGCTTCTAGCAACAACCTCGTGTTCAAAATTCTTGTTTGTTTCATCATTTTCATTATGAAGAAAAACACATACAGAGAAGAGCACAAAACACAGATGTCCATAAAGTATCATTAAAGTATCATAAAGCAAATATTCATGTAGGGCACAAATGTACGTACAGCTTCATAAGGCAAATACTCGTGTGGAACACAATGTATGACTCTATAAAGTATCGTAAAGCAAATATTCCTGTGGCCACCATAGAAAATGTAACCACCTCGGAAGCCCCTTTCATGCCCCTTCGCAATGATCTCTTTCTCTGTCTTCCCCAAATTAAATGCAGTTGGTTCTCGTGGGTCCCAGCAGAAAACTCGGGGTGTTCTCCAGTCCCCGTCCTCACAGATCCCTGAACCCCGTGTTTCCTTCCAGCCCTGGGAGTGGCAGGAGTGCCATGCGGCCGTGGCCTCTCCCCAACTGCGCTCAGAATCAGTAACTCTTTGAGACGCTGGTTTTAGAAATAACCGGATGGTCGGGATGGCCATCACCTCCCCTGGGGCTGACTTTGTCTCCCGATGGGCAGGTGGGCTGGTGGCCTGGTGAGCTGGGCCCCAAGGCCCCATCGTGTCCCCAGGGGCGTCCTGCTCACCTCTCTGGGCTTCTCCGCTCCAGACCTCGGTCTTTGGTCCTTGTGGCCTTTGTGGGTCTCCAGTGGCTTTCAACAGGCATTTTGTTTTGTTTTAGTATTTTTCTAGCTTTTCCAGCTATTCTATGGAAAATATTGTTCTGAAGCAACTTATTCGTCCGTTCCTGGAAGTGGACTCGGCTCCTGGGTTTTCTGGGACTTGCCTGGCCTGGGCTTTGTAATTGTGTGTGCAGGCATCCTTATCGGTCTCAGAAATTTCTTAGCCGTCATTTCTTCAAAGCTTGCTTGTTTCCAGTAAGCTTTTCTCTCTCTCTTTCTGGGACCCTCTTACACTTTATATCGCTTTGGTTTTTCTTCTTTTTTTCTCTCTGTTTTCCATCTTCTGGTCTTTTCATGCTGAATTCTGAATAATTTATTTTGATATATGTTCAAATTCACTATCTCTTTAGAAAATCTGTTTTGCTATTAAATTTGTCTGTGTTATGCTTAATTGGGATTTGTCTTTTAGTTCTAATAGTTCTATTCTTGGCCGGGTGCAGTGGCTCACACCTATAATCCCAGCACTTTGGGAGGCCAAGGCGGGTGGATCACCTAAGGTCAGGAGTTTGAGACCAGCCTGGCCAACGTGGTGAAACGCTGTCTCTACTAAAAATGTGAAAATTAGCCAGGTGTGGTGGTGGGCGCCTGTAATTCCAGCTACTCGGGAGGTTGAGGCAGGAGAATCGCTTGAACCTGGGAGAAGGAGGTTGCAGTGAGCCAAGATTGCGCCACTGCACTCCAGCCTGGGCAAGAAGAGCAAAACTCCGACTCAAAAAAAAAGAGAAAAAGTTCTATTGTTCAAGTTTGTCTTTTAGTTTTTGTGTGTGGTAAAATGTATATAACATAAAATTTACCATTTTAGCCATTTTTAATTCAGTGGCGTGAAGTACAGTCACATTGCTGTGCAGCCCCCGCCGCCTCCGCCTCCAGATCTTTCCCGTCTTCCCGAACTGAAGCTCTGTCCCCGTGAAACAGCCCATTGCCCGCCCCAGCCTCTGGCTGCCACCCGTCTCCGTCCAGTCCCCATGACTTTGGCTCTGCTAAGGGACCTCCTGTGACAATATTTGTCCTTTCATGACTTGCTCATGTCTTATATCTTTTAGTTTTTTAAATACAACTTGCATAGATTTTAAAAATATTTTGTGCGTGATAATTTGAATATATCAAGTCTTTTGTTTTCTGATATTTTGTCTGTTTTTACTTATAAGCCTGGCTGTCTTTGCGCACTGGCCATTTTATTTGAACCGTTCTCTGTGGAGTAATTTGGCGCCCCAGGGTTCTCCTGCATCATAGACTCTGTCCTGCCTCCATTGTGGCCACATAGGCCAATTCCCCCTGGGTGGTCAGGATCAATCCCCGGGCCAGCACAGACAATCCCTTTCTGGACGTGGACTCAGAGGCATGAGGAGCCCAAGGGGCCGGGTGGGGTCTTAACTTCCATTCCGGCGGCGTCATCGTGCGTCTCCTGGTGGCAGTGTTCCTCCCCTGGGACCCAGACCTCTCGGCCTGTAGACCACAACGTCAGGGGGCAGGAAGCAGGAGCTCCCCTAGTACATCACCAGGAGTGACAGTGAGTGCCACTCCCATGTCCGCCCCTCGATTCCTGGCCCCGTGAGCCCTGGCTGGGGAGAAACAGCTCCATGTCCCAGAGGCTCATTTGGAGTCAGTGCGGCCTCTGGAGAGCCTCGCCCCAGCCCTGCCAGCGTCGCCGCTGAATGGGTGCCGTAACTGGACCTCCAAAGGCCATCCCACCTCTGTCCGACCCATGGCTTCGAGATGGTAGGGACATGAGAGGGAAGTTAATTCCAGGAGCCCGGCCCATTGCGACCTTTCTTTGGCTGTTAAGTGAGTTCCTTGGTCAGAAGCAATGTCCTGTGGAAAACCATGGTGTTGGATGAGGCGTTCTATCCAATTTTAACCCTGACATGTAATTGCTACGAGACTTTGGGTATTAAGAATTACATACCCTTTCCAAACCTCCGTTTTCTTGGCTACAAAATAGAGATAATATTAGCTATTCTCTCTCCAGCCATAGAAGAGTGTGATAAATATTAAAAAAAAGTGTATGTGTGTGTTTTATAAATGGTGAAGTGAATTAAAGATCTATTCATTTGTTTTACAAATATATTTTTGAAGTTTTTAGGGATCGTTGTACATGTTCACGGAGCACGTGTGGTACATGATACAGCCACACCATGTTCGCGGAGCATGTGTGGTACCTGATGCAGGCGCACCGTGTTTGTGGAGCACGTGTGGTATCTGATACAGGCACACCGTGTTCATGGAGCACGTGTGGTACCTGATACAGGCACGCCGTGTTTGTGGAGCACGTGTGGTACCTGATACAGGCACGCCGTGTTTGTGGAGCATGTGTGGTACCTGATACAGCCACACCATGTTCGCGGAGCATGTGTGGTACCTGATGCAGGTGCACCGTGTTTGTGGAGCATGTGTGGTACCTGATACAGGCGCACGGTGTTCACGGAGCACGTGTGGTACCTGATACAGGCACACGGTGTTCACGGAGCACGTGTGGTACCTGATACAGGCGCACGGTGTTCACGGAGCACGTGTGGTACCTGATACAGGCGCACGGTGTTCACGGAGCACGTGTGGTACCTGATACAGGCGCACCGTGTTTGTGGAGCACGTGTGGTACCTGATGCAGGCACGTCGTGTTTGTGGAGCACGTGTGGTACCCGATACAGGCACACCGTGTTTGTGGAGCACATGTGGTACCTGATACAGGCGCACGGTGTTCATGGAGCACGTGCGGTACCTGATACAGGCGCACCATGTTCACGGAGCACATGTGGTACTCGATGCAGGCACACCGTGTGTCATGATCAAGCCAGGGTAACTGGACCATCCATCACATCAAACATTTATCATTTGTGTTGGGAACATTCCAGATCTTCTAGCTATTTCATTTTGTTTTTTGAGATGGAGTCTCTCTCTGTCGCCCAGGCTGGAGTGCAGTGGCGTGATCTCAGCTCACTGCAGCCTCCACCTCCAGGTTCAAGTGATTCTCGTACCTCGGCTTCCTGAGTAGCTGGGACTACAGGCGTGCAGCACCATACTCGGTGAATTTTTTTTTTTTTAGTAGAGCCAGAGTTTCACCATCTTGGCCAGTCTAGTTTCGAACTCCTGACCTCAAGTTATCCGCCTGCCTTGGCCTCCCAAAGTGCTGGGATTACAGGCATGAGCTACTGCGCCTGGCCATAAAAGTCTTCTAGCTATTTTGAAATATACAATAACTTATTGTTAACTATAGTCACCCTATTGTGCTATCGAACACTAGAACTACTCCTTTTACCTGACTGTAGTTTTGTGCCCTTTAACCAACCCCCTTCCTCCTCCCGCCACTGCCCTTCCTGGCCTCTGCTGAGCGCCATCCTTCTACCTCCACGAGATCATCTCCTCAGCTCCCACACATGGGTGGCAACACCAGCGTTTGTCTTTCTGTGTCTGGATATTTCACTTAATGACCTCCATGTCTTACAAATATTTTTGAGGGCCAACTCCATAGAAGAACTGGCCTGGCCCTGGTTCTAGAAGGTGCAAGAGACTTTCCCACAGGACATTTAGCCTGGGCTTGGGGCATGGGGGATTAGGTGTCTAGACCAGGGGTCGGAAGGTTTGAGGGTCCCGTGTTTGAAGGTTAGTGACGTGCCCCTTAGGTGGTGCCTGTGGTTCCTTTGAGCCTCCTCAGCTCTTCTTTTTGAAATACCTGTCAGGGTCATATGCAGGTTTTTAGCCCTCCTCCTCCTCCTTCCTCCCTCCTCCCTCCTTCCATCTCCCTTCTCCACCTTCATCCTCCTTCTTCCCTCCTCCCTTCTCCTCTCTCCTCCACCCTCCCTCCTCTATTCTCTCTCCCCAACCCCCACTTCCCTCCACCCTCCACCTGCCTCCTCCCTCCTTCTTCTGTCCCTCCTCCCTCCTCCCCCCTCCTCTTCTGTCCTCTCCCCTTCTCTCTCCTCCACTCTCCAACCTCCTGTTCTCTTCCCTACTCCCTCCTCCCTCCTCCCCCCTCCTCTTCTGTCCTCTCCCCTTCTCCCTCCTCCACTCTCCAACCTCCTGTTCTCTTCCCTACTCCCTCCTCCCTTCTCCACCCTCCTCTTCTGTTCTCTTCCCTCCTCCCTCCATCCCTTCTCACTCCTCCATTCTCCACCCTCCTTTATTCTCTTCTCTCTGCCCTCCTCCCACTTCCCCTCTGTCCCCAGCCTCCTCTCTTCAGCCCCACTAGGTTCCTCTCGGCTTCCCTCAGCATGGTTCGTTGGATGATCTGAATGTCCTAAGGCCGTTTTGCGGGAATAAGAGACATAAATATGGGTATTTTAGTTCATCTTAGCGTTCAACTTAAAAACAGATATCCTTCCAATGACATTATTCTTATTTCTGCTATTGAGTACATTTGTACCTTTTACTCATGTACTTAAACCTTTGCTGTTCTTCCACTTAATTTTTTTATCATGAGATAGAATACACCCACAGAAAAATGCACAAAACATAAATATCCATTAATTTACAAGTTAATTATGAAGCAAATATTTGTGTAGCTACCACTCGATCAATAAATGCTTATGGCCGGCACCTTAAAGGGACTGTCCCACCCATGCCCCCACCTCGACTTCCCCCCAAAAAGTGACCACTCTTCTGATCTTCAAGGTTATAATGTTGTTGCTTTTCTTTATGGTTTATATCCGTGGTCCCCAGCCTTTTTGGCACCAGGGACAGGTTTTGTGGAAGACAATGTTTTCACAGACCGATGGTGGGGGGGCGTGGTTTTGGGATGAAACAGTTCCACCTCAGGCCGTCAGCATTAGTTAGATGCTCATAAGGAGTCTGTGACCTGGATTCCTCGCGTGTGCAGTTCACAGTAGGGTTTGCGCTCCTGCGAGGGTCTAATGCAGCCGCTGCTCTGACAGGAGGGGCAGCTCAGGCCGTGACGCTCGCCCGGCCGCCGCTCACTCCTGCTGTGTGGCCTGGTCCATGGCGCGGCACCAGCCCGCTTCCCCGGGAATTGGGACCCTGGTACACACTGTGTGTGCATTTCTTAAATAATATGGTTTATTTGGCTTGGTTTTGAATTTAAATAAGGGGAAAATACCATGTATATTCTTGTGTCTTGCTTCTTTCACTGAACATTAGGCTTGTGAAATTTCTGTTGTGTTCAGCTGCTGAATGGCATTTGAAAATAACATGCACAATTCATGTATCTGCTATTCTCACTCACTGGGTTCTTTCCACATTTGAATGAGCTGCCGTGAGCATGTCTGTGTGTGTGAGTAGGGCTTTTCCTACCCAAGTAGTCAGACGTCAGGGTCTTAGGGAAGTGCATCTTCAGCTTTGCTGGAAGATGCCAGACGGTCCCCTCCACAGTGGTGGCAGGTCCTCACCGCAGACGGTCCCCTCCACAGTGGTGGCAGGTCCTCACCGCAGATGGTCCCCCTCCACAGTGGTGGCAGGTCCTCACCGCAGACGGTCCCCTCCACAGTGGTGGCAGGTCCTCACCGCAGACGGTCCCCCTCCACAGTGGTGGCAGGTCCTCACCGCAGACGGTCCCCTCCACAGTGGTGGCAGGTCCTCACCGCAGACGGTCCCCTCAACAGTGGTGGCAGGTCTTCACTGCAGACGGTCCCCCTCCACAGTGGTAACAGGTCCTCATCGCAGCCAGCAGTGCATGGGAGCTCTTGTTCTGCCTAATTAAGTACACTTGGAATTGTCAGCATTTTTTATTTTTCCTTCTCCGCTGCATAACTAATTGCATTTCTCTGATGGCTGACGAGGTTGTTGGTCCACTGGAAATCCTCTTGTCTGAATGGCCTGTTCAAGGCCCTTGCCTGTTTTGCTGTTGGATTGTCTATCGTTTTCTTACTTATTTGTAGGAATTGCTTTATGTGAGTTTAAAATATGTTCTTGGGGCTGAGCATGGTGGCTCAAGCCTGTAATCCCAACTCTTTGGGAGGCTGAGGCGAGAGGATCAGTTGAAGCCGGGAGTTTGAGGCTGCAGTGAGCTATGATTGTGCCGTTGCACTCCAGCCTGGGCAATAAAGCGGGACTGTATTAGTCTATGCATCAATCAATGCAAACAAACAAACGGAAAGTGTGTTCTTTACTGCAGGATGACGTCATGATGCCCCAGCGGGTGAGGCTGCAACACGAGGCTGCCGTTCAGCACCCGTCGAGCGTAAGTACTGGCCTCCTTAGTGTCGTTACTACCTTTAGTGAAATTACCACTGTGGTTTTTTAAATAAAGAGTTTTCCTAGGGGTGGAAAGAATCAGGCTATGGTGAGACTGTCAAGTCACGGAGAGGGATCTGTGGCTGGCATGTCTCTGAGCCCTGGAGGGTGTTTTCCTTTGGAGAAAAACATGCCCCTGATTTTTCTCCTGTTATTTTCGTAGGGTGCAAAGGTGGTTGTGTTGTTTGTTTTTAATCAGCGTTTTAGAAGCTGAGCGCCTTAGACATGAAAACACAGGCTGAGAGCTATACCGTGTTCACAGTTAAACGTTTTTCTTATTTAGACGATCTTAAATTACGGTTTTTATCTTTAGAACGGCTTCTCAGTTGCCCCTCCAAAGCCAGGCTTCCTGGGGCCCCTCCTCAGCCCAGCAGTGCCCCGTGGGCTCCTCCGCCCAGTGGGGAGGAAGCACAGCAGTGCCCCGTGGGCTCCTCCATCCCCCACCGCAGATGGTGGGGACACATGGCCCAGGGATCCCTGGAGCTGGTGTCTCAGCCACCGCGAGGCTCCTGCTGGCTTCAGGGAAGGTGACTGTGTCCTCAGAGATCTCGCTCAAGTTTTAGAAGACTTTGAATCACAGCGGTGATCACTTGGGTTTTAACACTGAGGGATCCATAACTGTCCAGCGCCCACAGTGTCCGTCCCCCGGGCAGTTTGGCGCTCACCCTGGACAGGCCCCTCTGCCCTCCCCCCGCGGGGCTGTGCGTCGTGGGCACGTGTGCGGTTGGGTCACCACACGGTTCAGTCACGGCCGGCTCTGGTCACATCCTGGTCAGGTCACAGACGGGCCTGGTCACGGCAGGGTCTGGCCCACACGGTGCTGGGAGCCCAGCTCCCCACAGAGTGGGTGCTCGTGACAGTTCACCCTGTGGGGGGTCGGGCAGGGGGGCAAGGGCAGGACGGGTGTGCTGGGGGCGTCTGAAGGGGAGGGCCTGGGTGTTGGAACCAGAGGGGGTTGGGAGGGGGGAAAGGGTGTGGGGGTTTGGGGGGGCAGCATTGAGGGGGAGGGGGGTTGGGATGGGGGCAGGGCTGGTGCGCTGGGGGTGGGCGGTGCTGGGGGTGCAGCCGGCTGCACGGAGGTTTGCGTCTCACGTGAGGCAGGAGACAGACTGAGACACAGGCCACCTTCTCGGGTGCAGAGGGCCCCACACGGTTGCCTCCTTTGGGGGTGTGTCGGGTCCTGGGGCTCAGTGGCCCCAGCGTGGCTGCAGGGCCTTCTGTGGGGGCACATTTTCTGTGAGGGCAGGAGAGAGCTCTGTGGCTTGTAGCAGATTCTTAAAAGGGTCACGTGTTTGCAAAGTTTAGGAACCGCAAATATGTCTGAATGTTTCTCCGTAGCAACCACAAATACGTGTGAGAGTGTGACAGCATATCCATGGCAATCGGGGCCACAGGCTCCGGAAGTCAGTTTCTGGAAGTTTACAGGCATGGACTGCCTGGGAGAGACGTCCGAGAGTGTCTGCTTGTCGGGTGGGACGGGGGGCCCGGGGATCTAGGGATTAGGGGTGATTTCTACCCCAGCCACAGGTGCTGTGGGGTTTCAGTCATGTGGAAACAGAGAGTGATCACAGACGGTTTTTCCAGTCCAGTTCCTTTGTGGGGAATAGGGGGAAAATGGGGGAAAATGTCCTTCGGGATGGACTTCTGTGGACAGTTTATGTGAGGAAAGTGCAGAGTCTGGGGTTTCCAGGAGGGCCTTTTGCAGAGGTGTGAGATATCGCACATGGAGGCTGGAGAGGAAAGGGGCGTCCCTGCCACGTTAGCTGCCCAACGGCTCCCTTTGCGTCCCTGCAGCTGTGTGGTCCTGTGGACTGGAAGGTGGAGCAGACCCTGTGCCGGCCCGTGAGCTGGAAACCGTGGCTGGACTGAGCCGTCCGTATGTGAGGTGCCACAGCGATTTTTACACAGCTAGAAATGACAGTTGCCAGCTATTTAGAATCAATCATACAGACGTCTAAGGAATTTTGTTAGGAGTGTTGACATTTTAGTGGAGGAGATACTTTCAGATGTTTTCATTTCCATACTGAAAAACAAGCCCAGATTGGCTTCATTAATGGAGTTGCCTTTGGCAGTTCTTCGTGGCATGTGTTCAAACGAGCTGGGAGACTTATGGATACGAGGAGTTCGTGGCGTGTGTTCAAACGAGCTGGGAGACTTATGGATACGAGGAGTTCGTGGCGTGTGTTCAAACGAGCTGGGAGACTTATGGATACGAGGAGTTCGTGGCGTGTGTTCAAACGAGCTGGGATACTTATGGATACGAGGAGTTCGTGGCGTGTGTTCAAACGAGCTGGGATACTTACGGATACCAGGAGTTCGTGGCGTGTGTTCAAACGAGCTGGGATTCCCCACAGGAATGTGGGGAAAATGCACATGGTCAGTTTGTCTTAATTGTAATAAGACAAGCTTAATTTCCATTTTCATCGATGATTTTAAACCTTTTTCTTGCTACTCTTCTCACTGCCTTCGCTGATGCTCTGTTGTGCACTTGGGAGAGAAGCTTCTGCTCCAGGTGCCTCCTCTTTTCCCAATGGTGCGGTTAGGTGGAGCGTCCACCCCGTTTCTCCACGTCGAAGCTCTTCTGGAGGAAGCTTAGGGATGTCATCACAGTTTTGTTTCACTAAAACAAAGTCAGCTTTAGAAAGGCTGTTATTGCGTGGCTGGATTTTTTAGAAATCATGACCTACAAAAATCTTAATTTGCAGTTGCTGGTTTGTGGTTACGTGAATTACATTGTGTAGTTTGTCCTGAGAGAATGAAATAAACGCTGAGATACTTGTACTTGGTCGTTGTTTTCTTAAGATCTTTTACAAGAAACCAGCTAATTAGGAAGGACCTTTGATGGCGGCTTTCATAAATCGTGCATTTGCATGTAGATAAATCACTGCAGAACTTTAGGAATCCTGCATGTAGAGCATCGTTATCCAAGGTTAGCAAGAACAGGGAACCCGCATTGCGCCCTGTAACTTGCCCCCGTTCCTGAGGGCCAGCCAACCCCCGTCCTTCCTCCTCCTCTCGCCCCGGCTGACCCTTGGATTCCTGACACTGTGCACCCTGTGGTTTCCCACCTCTGTGCCTGGGCTCAGGAGACATCGGAGAGGAAAGCCTGCATTCTTGGTCACCTCTAGACCACCCCAGACCAAACACGAAGGCTGCCCTGGCTCCACCCAGCTCCTTTCCAGAGCTGATCTCTGTTCCCAACGTTCAAGACCAGTCCTCGGGGTACAGCCCCGTGAGGGCAGGTGCTCCACCTTAGGGTACAGCCTCACCCACCCTCGTGCACTGGGATGGAGCATGCAGGGAGGTGTAGGGAAGCGACGCGGAGGAACAAAGACGGGAGGGTTCCTGTGAAGCAGCCTGGGCCACAGCTTGCCTGTCGGGGGAATGGGTGGAGCCGCCGTGCCCTGCATCCTGGGCGCCGTTCCCCGCTCCTTGCCTGTGCCAAGCCATAATCATCCAGACGGCACGGCAGCCGACTCTCCCTGCTTCCACTTCTGCCCCCACAAGAAGCTGCGTGTTAACTTAAATAAACAGGACTTCCAGGTGTTCTGTTTAAATGAAGTCCGCGGTGCACTCTGCAGCCTTTGTCTGAGGAAGTCCCAGAGCACAGGGCTGGGGCGTCAGCCCCTCTGCACATGCAGCCTGGGAGGGCCACGGCCCCCAGCCCTGTGAGCCCATGCCCAGACCGGTGTGTGACTTCCCAAGCTGGAAGGGGCAGAACATGCCAGACTGGGCCTTGGAGAGGCAGAAGCTGTTGCAGTGACTGACTCAGCTCTTGAAGTTGGAGTGCTTGTGGGCTCTCCTCTGACCGTGCTCTTCGCTCCGGGGGCAGGGAGTGACAGGGTCACACTGGACGGCTGCCTCCGGGCTCTGCTGGGCTGTAGTTCGGGCTGTCAGGCCTGGGTGCTCCTCCTTCACCTTCGCCTTCAACATCGCTGCTCAGGAGTGGCGGCCGAAGCCCCCGGTGCTGGTGACTCTGGACCCTGGGGCGTGGCTCAGCAGCAGCAGTGCTGGAGAAGAGCCGCCTGCCTGGTGGTTGAACGAGCTCCCCAGGCACCCCTGGCTGCCCACAGCACCCCACACCAGGGGCCCCCGCAGCCCCCCCCACACCAGGGTCCCCTGCAGCTCCACACACCAGGGGCCCCCACAGCCCCCCCAGCCCCCCGCCGGGCAGCCCCCCCACACCAGGGGCCCCCACAGCCCCCCAACACCAGGGGCCTCCACAGCTCCCTTCCCCCACAGCTCCCCTCCCCCACAGCCCCCCTCCCCCACAGCAGTGGACGGCAAGTCGTTCACTCCAAGGCAGTGGCCCCAGGGAGCTGATGTTAGTGTCAAAAATGCAACTGGTTTCTTTTCTTTCCTTCAGTGTAATTCAGAAGCTGACTTCTTGAGTCTGTGCCAGAAACGTGTCTTTCTGGGAAGGGGCCCTTCTGAGCTCTCTGCGTTCATTTGCCTCCCGCCTCAGCCCGGCCCCTCCTTCCTCCCTCGCACCCAGCACCATGCACCGAGGGCACCTCACCTGGGTTCACCCAGACACGCTTGACCCTCCTGCGCTGCCCATCGAAGGTCTCGCCCCTTTGCCGTCTTCAGGACTCGGCCTCTGTGGCGAATCCACGGGGAGTCTGAGCTGCAGCCCCAGCAGCCCTGACCTTCTTGCCACCGTCTTTAGAGCCAAGGGCCCTGCAAACTGTGCCAGGCCGTGCAGTGGGGGGACTCACCTCGTGGGTCTCAGTTCCTTTCTGTGTGGGGGGCTTACCTCATGAATCTGAGTTACTTTTTTTTTTTGAGATGGAGTCTTGCTCCGTTGCCCAGGCTGGAGTGCAGGGGTACGGTCTCGGCTCACTGCAACCTCCGCCTCCCAGGTTCAAGTGATTCTCCTGCCTCAGCCTCCTGAGTAGCTGGGATTACAGGTGTGCGCCACCACGCCCGGCTAATTTTTTTGTATTTTTAGTAGAGATAGGGTTTCACCATGTTGGTCAGGCTGGTCTCGAACTCCTGACCTCGTGATCCACCCGCCTCTGCCTTCCAAAGTGCTGGGATTACAGGTGTGAGCCACTGCGCCCAGCCCTGAGTTACGTTCCAGCCCTGAGTTACGTTTTATGATGGGGGACTCACCTCGAGGGTGTGAGTTTCCTTCTGTGTGATGGGTTCACTTGGGAGTGTGAGTTTCCTTCTGTGTGATGGGTTCACCTGGGGGTGTGAGTTTCCTTCTGTGTGATGGGTTCACCTTGCAAGTCTGAGTTTCCGTCTTTGTGGGTCAGGAAGGGCCGCTTGTCTCCATTCGCAGGCATCCTCACCTCTGGACTGCCGGGCTGGGATCATCTCGAGCCCGCACACTCGTTCGGCGGCAGGGATCCGGGCTGGGATCATCTGGAGCCCGCGCACTCGCTCGGCGGCAGGGATCCTGGCTGGGATCATCTGGAGCCCGAGCACTCGCTCAATGGCAGGGATCCGGGCTGGGCGCTTTCTCTCCACGAAGCTGCTCAGGCTTCCTCGCAGCATGGTGGCTGCAAGAACAAGTGTCCAGGAGAGCCTGCCAGAAGCTGCGTTGCCTTTGACAATGTAGCCCCAGAGCACCGTGTCACGTGGTGTCATGCTGACCCCAGATTTGAGGGGAGGGAGCGCAGACCTCACCTCTCAGTGCTTGAGGGTCGATGGCCATGTGAGGAGGGCAGGCAGGGAGGGACTGTGGCAGGCAACTTAGGGAGCACAGCCCCCCGTGTCCCCTCACACCTCCCTTCTGTCAGTATCCTATTCCTTTCAACGTTCTGACTCTTTTTTTCGGTGGAATTGCCAGATCCTGGTGGTCCCCGTATAAATTCAGAAAGAGTTCCAAGATTGCTTGTTGGGATCAACTCCAGCGGCCTGCGCTTTCTGCTCCGCCTGTTGGCACAGAGGCTTTCAAATGAATTAGCTCACAACACTTCTCGAAAGCCTTGAAAGTGGCTTCTTCTAGGAACCTGGAGAAAGTTAGCCAGCCTCTCAGGCCAGCGCACAGGCCTCTCATTCACATCTGCTCACTGGGTCCAGGCCCTGTGCTAGGTGCGGTGCCCACAAAAGCTCCTGCCCTGAGAATCTGACGTCTCGGTGCAGGATTAAGCGCATAGCGCACCTCTTCCCTGCGCCTCCTCCTCCTCTTGAGAGCGTGCCTCTTCCCTGCGCCTCCTCTTGAGAGCGCGAGGTCTCCTGCAGAGGAAGGTGCCGGCAGCATCGCGGCTGGGCGCTGTTGGTCTGTCTGGAATCCACGCCTTCCTACTGCTGTTTAGATGCAGTTGCACGGGAGAGAGCTTGCTGCCTTCTTCCAAGGTTAAAAAATGTTGAGGCCAAAAAAGATCCTCTCACCTCCTCCGTTTATAGACCAATGCTCGTGGCTCGTGGTTAATTAAAGCCACAGGAATTGCCAGCCTCGGGCCTCTAGTTTCACAGGATTCCCCCACCCCGTCCTCACTCTTGGTGAGAGACCCGGTGTGGCTTTACCTTTCCAGGGAAGCATGAAGCTGGGGGAGTCATGGGGAGGGGTCGGGCATGCGCAGTGGAAGCAGGCGTCAATCAGCCCCCGTCCGAGAGGCGCCTCTCATGCCCCAGCGGGATCCAGGCTCTCAGGAGTGGGCTGGCGTGTACTCACCTGTCGCCCACAGCTGCCTCCCAGGACCCGGCAGTGCTGGCCTCAGGGTCTCGGTGTTTGTGTGTAGATGCTGAGCCTCTCTGTCTTCACGTTTTGGAACAAAGGACTTCTACCTCCAGCTTTTGATCAGCTTCCCTCAAAATCTTTTCTGTTCAGCAGTCAAACGTGAGACAGTATAGACAAGACCAGGAAACAGATGCAATTGTACGTAGGTAGATGCTATGCAGGATGCACAGAAACAGACACACCAAACAGTTTAGAAATGCATCTCGGTCAGATTGGGTGTGGGGAAAACTCGCTGGGCAGGGCGGCGGCTCCAGAGCTGTCCTAATTCACAACTATTTTTAGCATGTGCTTTAGGAGAGAGACATGAAAGGTTCACAGATAGAATTCAGCAGCATATGAAAAGAATTACACAGCCATGGCCGAGCACGTTTGTTCCAATTAGAAAATGAGCAAAATACATGAAAAGACATTTCACTAAGGAGGGTGTACAGACGGCAAAGAACCAGGCGAAAAGATGCTCCTCGCCAGCCTTCAGGGAGCCTGTGTTAAAGCACGGTGCCATCAGAACGGAATGAAAACCGAGACACCCAGTGCTGGCGAGAGGCAGAGAAGCTGGATCCTCATGCATCACTGAGGGTGAGAGACGGCGCAACCACTCTGGAGACTGTTTGGAAGTTCCTGTAAAAACTAAACATGTAACTGTTCTGTGACCCGGCAGTTGCTCTCCTGGGCATTTATCCCAGTGGATTGAAGACGCTGTTCACAGACAAACCTGAACTTGAATGTTCGGGATCGCCAGCACAGGACCTGACTACTGTTACATGCAGTGACTGGAAGCCTGTCCTGGGAGCCGAGGAGCAGTGCGAAAGCCGGGCACAGAAGGCCGCCTCCTGCACGTTCCCGGATCATGCTCTGGAGAGCACAGCCACGGCGTCGGGATAGCACAGCCACGGCGTCGGGATAGCACAGCGGCTGCCGTTGAGGGGCTGCCAGTGGCTGTAAGGGGCGCCTCGGGTGCTCGTGCCCTGGGACATCTGGATCTGGACTCCATCATGTCCCTCTCCTGGTGCGGCGTTGACCTTGGGTCCTCGTGATGTTACCACCAGAGGAAGTGGTGAAGGGCACAGAGGGTCTCTCTACAGTTGTTTCTTACAGCTGCAATGTGAATTCACAATTTTCTCAAAGTAAGTTTAATTAAAAAACAACAACAACAACAAATGCAAACAGAAGCCTCCCCCAAGCACGTCATTAACTGCATTGGTAGAAAAGAATCACTCACTACGCGTAAACGCTACACAAGTTGGAGACAGATCCAGGGGCCTCAGATGCCTCGGTGTGACTTCATCGCTTCCGAGTTAGGAGACTGGCTCACTGATACCACTCTTTGGACCACAGTTACATTTTCACTATTGTCTCCTTGTTGGTCTTGGGTGAGACGGAATCAGCTGCGTCCGCTGGGACTTGTGACCTGGGGCCTGTGCTGTGAGAACGTCTACTCGGGAGGCTCTGCTGGCCCTGGGCCCTCACTTGGGGTGGGTGCTGTTTCCTACGGACGCGCCCAGGTGCCCTCTCTCCAGCCAGCTCCTCCCACTGCAAGGTGAGTGTGAGCCCTGAAGGACCTGCCCTCCTACCTCTGGATCTCAGGAGCAGAACAGAGCCAGGGCTGAGTGCTGGGAGCCCACTCCGGGGCAGAGGTCAGGCTGGAGGGGGCCGGGCAGGGCGGAGGGCGGGGGAAGGGTTGAGAAAGGCTGAGGCAGGTGATGCTCTGAGGCTCTGCAGGGCCCGGGAGGGGGTCAAGGCTACTGACAGGATGTCACCTGAGGCAGGGGTGCTGGCCTGGATGCCCGGGGAGAGGGTTGTCGGCCCTGGAGGAAGCCAGCTGGTAGCAAGGCTCTTCTCCACTTAGGGACGCTGCTTTCCTGAGCTGAATGGAGCAGGTTCAGACGGGCGGCCTGCGGACAGGCAGCGGTTTCCTCACATCCACTTTGCATGTGATTCAAGAAGTGAGTTCTTAGAAATAACTCACCTTGCATATGGGCCATTTGATTTGAGTTCATTAAGGGGAAATGTCATCTGTGACATATTCTCAATCCAGCCCAGGGCAGCTCTGTGGTTCACCGCCAAGATGCGCGTCCAGGGCCGTCTTCTGTCGTGCCCATCGTTGCTATGCTGTCCCCAAGCAAAAGCAGGCATCCCTCCTCCTCCTCGCCCTCGACTCCCGGTGTTTGCCTGACCCAGATTTGCAGCATTTCAGTTTCCTGTCTGGACATCTCTGCCTAAAACATGTGAGATGAATACACACAGGTGTGCACATGCACCTGCGTACCTGACTTTGTTTTGAGCTCTGTCTGCCGTTGTTTTTCACAGATCATTGGTTGCAGAGTGAGGAGAGATCCCCCTAACTCCACCGAACGATACACACGTTGGATCAACCAGCTGACGCCGGAGCAGCTCCTAACCCAGGTACCTCGCCTGGCGCCTTGTCTGGGGCAGGTGCACAGGTCGCCTCTGGGCGCCATCTCATGCATTATGCTGTGGCCTCTTGTGTCTGCGTCGTCGTGGGCCATGGTCCTTCTGTCCTCGCCTTCACTCACATGCCATCAATCGCACAGAGTGGAAGATGAGAGTGGCCCCAGCGGACACATGTGCTAGGCTGGTCTCAGGCCGGCAGTTCAGGCTGGTTCAAGTTCTGAGCTGGGAAACCCGACCGCACAGGTCCACTTACACGCGGAGGGCGGGAGGGTGAGCTCAGTAATCCCACACGCAGACCGCAGAGGGCAGGAAGGCGAGCTCAGGAATCCCACACGCGGACTGCGGAGGGTGGGAGGGCGGGCTCAGGAATCCCACACGCGGACTGCAGAGAGTGGGAGGGCGGGCTCAGGAATCCCACACGCGGACTGCGGAGGGTGGGAGGGCGAGCTCAGGAATCCCACACGCGGACTGCGGAGGGTGGGAGGGCGAGCTCAGGAATCCCACATGCGGACTGCAGAGAGTGGGAGGGCGAGCTCAGGAATCCCACACGCGGAGGGCGGGAGGGCGGGCTCAGGAATCCCACACGCAGACCGCAGAGGGCAGGAAGGCGAGCTCAGGAATCCCACACGCGGACTGCAGAGAGTGGGAGGGCGGGCTCAGGAATCCCACACGCGGACTGCAGAGAGTGGGAGGGCGGGCTCAGGAATCCCACACGCGGACTGCAGAGGGTGGGAGGGCGGGCTCAGGAATCCCACACGCGGACTGCAGAGAGTGGGAGGGCGGGCTCAGGAATCCCACACGCGGACTGCAGAGAGTGGGAGGGCGGGCTCAGGAATCCCACACGCGGACTGCGGAGGGTGGGAGGGCGAGCTCAGGAATCCCACACGCGGACTGCGGAGGGTGGGAGGGCGAGCTCAGGAATCCCACATGCGGACTGCAGAGAGTGGGAGGGCGAGCTCAGGAATCCCACACGCGGAGGGCGGGAGGGCGGGCTCAGGAATCCCACACGCGGAGGGTGGGAGGGCGAGCTCAGGAATCCCACACGCGGACTGCAGAGAGTGGGAGGGCGAGCTCAGGAATCCCACACGCGGACTGCAGAGAGTGGGAGGGCGGGCTCAGGAATCCCACACGTGGACTGCAGAGAGTGGGAGGGCGAGCTCAGGAATCCCACACGCGGAGGGCGGGAGGGCGGGCTCAGGAATCCCACACGCGGAGGCCGGGAGGGCGGGCTCAGGAATCCCACACGCGGAGGGCGGGAGGGCGTGCTCAGGAATCCCACACGCGGACTGCAGAGAGTGGGAGGGCGGGCTCAGGAATCCCACACGCGGACTGCGGAGAGTGGGAGGGCGGGCTCAGGAATCCCACACGCGGAGGGCGGGAGGGCGGGCTCAGGAATCCCACACGCGGACTGCAGAGAGTGGGAGGGCGGGCTCAGGAATCCCACACGCGGACTGCAGAGAGTGGGAGGGCGAGCTCAGGAATCCCACACGCGGAGGGCGGGAGGGCGGGCTCAGGAATCCCACACGCGGAGGCCGGGAGGGCGGGCTCAGGAATCCCACACGCGGAGGGCGGGAGGGCGTGCTCAGGAATCCCACACGCGGACTGCAGAGAGTGGGAGGGCGGGCTCAGGAATCCCACACGCGGACTGCAGAGAGTGGGAGGGCGAGCTCAGGAATCCCACACGCGGAGGGCGGGAGGGCGGGCTCAGGAATCCCACACGCGGAGGGCGGGAGGGCGGGCTCAGGAATCCCACACGCGGAGGGCGGGAGGGCGGGCTCAGGAATCCCACACGCGGAGGGCGGGAGGGCGGGCTCAGGAATCCCACACGCGGACTGCAGAGAGTGGGAGGGCGGGCTCAGGAATCCCACACGCGGAGGGCGGGAGGGCGGGCTCAGGAATCCCACACGCGGACTGCAGAGAGTGGGAGGGCGGGCTCAGGAATCCCACACGCGGAGGGCGGGAGGGCGGGCTCAGGAATCCCACACGCGGACTGCGGAGGGCGGGAGGGCGGGCTCAGGAATCCCACACGCGGAGGGCGGGCTCAGGAATCCCACACGCGGACTGCAGAGAGTGGGAGGGCGGGCTCAGGAATCCCACAGCTAGTGTTTCAGCGTCTCCGTGTCCCGTGTGCCCCCAGCACGTTCCAAGAGCCAGGCTGCTGCATGCGATGTGGACAACAGGGTGTCCTCGGCAGTGGACTGTGCTTCTGTGAGACTGGACACGGGGCCGCCCGCGGTGCCGCCTCGGGTATGACTGGCTGCCGTCTGAGGGAGGGGACGTGGCCGTTGCCACATGGGTGGCTTGTCCCTGCCATCCTCTGTGGGGCCCTTGGCTGCCCCTGGGGGAGGCAGAGACCATCTTGTGGTCATGTCATGACAGCCCTTCCCTGTACGAGCTAGCGGCCGAGGGCGCGTGTCCTGGTGACTAGGCTGCACACTGTGAGTGAGTTGCTGTGCTTTTCAGTGAAGTTGTGAAAATACTTAAAACGGGAACTCAGGCAGACTGTGGCTACTTTTCTAAGTAACGTGCACCTCGTGCAAACCGGAATGCGGTTCGGCGTTGCCAAGCTGGTTCTGAACTGCAGCAGTCTGGACACATGTTGAGTTTCAGCCCAGCTCCAGACCGCGGTCAGAGCGCTGTCACCGAGAGCGGGTTCCCCGGAGGCCATGGCTGAGCTGCCCCGTGGGGGCAGGCTTTCTCCTGAGTGTTAGCTTTGATGCCCATAGAAGAGTTTTTTATTTTCATGTTTTTTAATTAAAATGAATCAATGTTCTTTTATCAGTTACATACTGTATTCACTTAAAACAATTTTAAAATAGACCTTCATGCCAGTATAGTGTGGGAAATTTAAAAAAAAAAAAAGGCGCAGTGGCTCACGCCTATAATCCCAGCACTTTGAGAGGCTGAAGCAGGAGGATCACTTGAGCCTGGGGATTTAAGACCAGTCTGCGCAATATAGTGAGACCCTGTCTCTACGAAACATTATCTGGGTGTGGTGGTTCACACCTTTAGTCCCAGTTTCTCGGGAGGCTGAGGTGGGAGGATCACCTGAGCCCAGGAGGTCAAGGCCACCATGAGCCATGATTGTACCACTGCCCTCCAGCCTGGGCAACAGACCCTGTCTCAAAAAAAGAAAAAGAAAAACTTTATTGCATTTGTCAAAAGTTATGCTTCACTGTTTCATAAAGTCAAGCAATATAAAAAATTACAGAGAAAAAACGATGTTACTGCAAACCCACCACTTGTTCCTCTCAGATGTCTCTGTGTGCAGGTCACACACCCAGCACCTAGAGGGGCTCCCGTCCCCCACCCCGCCCGCCCCTCTGCTTTCTGTGACCATAGACTGGTTTACGTTTGCTGGAATTTTACGTAAATGGAGTCCTACACCCTGTGTTGACTTGAAGGATGCCGAAGTGTTCCTTCCTGGGACTTTCTGTTTCATAAAGTTCTGTTTTTCTCCTCCTTGTCCACTTTCTCATCTTCTTCCTTTTTTCTTCACAGTTTCTGGTTTGAATTGAGATCTAAAGAAGGTGCATACATTGCAGTTGTTGATAAATCCCTTTAAATATCCAGATTCCTCCGTCTTCCTTTTCCTTGACTATGTTGTGGACGATGTTGAATGATTTGCCATCGGTGCTTTCAGTAGTCCGACTTCTGCTGATTGCATCTCCCTGGTCTCATTTAACAGATTCCTCTGTCCCTGGAGTTCCTGCAAAGTAGTACTTAGAGCTAGAGGCTTTATGGGATTTACAGTGATTTGTCCATTTGTCTTGTTGATGTATACCTTTGTTGATGTATAGCTTTGTTGATGTATAACTGACATACAGCAAATGGCCCCTATTTCAAATGTACAGTTTGATCGGTTTTGACATGTGTCTGTACCCCAGTGACCCACCACAGTCAACACAGTGAACACATATATCCAACACCCCAAGTTTCCTCCTGTCCATCCCGGAGCCCTCCCCACACCATGCAACCATGACCCACTTTCTGCCTGCACAGCAGTTTTACATTTGCTGGAGGCTCAGGTAAATGCAGTCATGTGCTGTGTGCTTCACTGGTCTGGCCACCTTCACTCAGCATAATTACTGTGGGTCCAGATGCGTGGCTCGCTCACAGCAGTGGTGACCCTCGAACAGTGTGTTGGAACTGCACAGCCTACGTACACTTGGGTTTTTCTCAGCAAGTGTATTGGAGAGGTTTTTGGAGATGTGTAACAATTTGGAAAAGCTTTCAGACAAACAGCATGGCCTAGGAATACTGAAAACACTAACAAAAAGATGTGTCATGAGTACATAAAATATATAGTGATGCTAGTGTTTTTAAATCATGTAATACCAAAAATTATACACAAATCTATTATAAAAAGTTAAAATTTATCAAAACTTAACATGCATACAAACACTTATAGACCACATATGGGGTCTTTCACAGTTTAGAGAAATTAAACAAATGTAGGGATGCAGAAATGAATCACAACTGCACAAAACTCACTGCAGTGCGTGCTGCACGACTGATGTTTTACAAACCCCTCCTGCCGGCACAGCCGCGAGCTCAGGTGCTGTGAGTGCTTAAAACGCTGGGTGAGGCTGATCATCTCCGCAAGCACAGCTCCTCCCTCCAGTAAATCACAAATCACAGTAAAAAAGTGATCTCTCGGCCAGGCGCAGTGGCTCATGCCTGTAATCCCAGCGCTTTCGGAGGCCAAGGCAGGTGGATCATGAGGTCAGGAGTTCGAGACCAGCCTGGCCAAGATGGTGAAACCCCGTCCCTACTAAAAATACAAAAATTAGCCAGGCACAGTGACAGGTGCCTGTAATCCCAGCTACATGGGAGGCTGAGGCAGGAGAATCGCTTGAACCCAGGTGGCAGAGGTTGCAGTGAGCTGAGATCGCGCCACTGCACTCTAGCCTGGGTGACAGAGCGAGACTCCATCTCAAAAAAACAAAACAAAACAAAAAACAACAACAAAAAAAACCAGTGACCTCTCACAGTTTTCACACAGTTTTAATCATGTTTAAGGCGATCCTATAAACCTTGAGTGACACCCTAGGACCCATACACAGTGCCACTGGTAATGCTGGAGGTGCTCCCAAAAAGCAGAGAAAAGTCATGACATTACAAGAAAAAGCTGAATTCCTTGCTATGTACTGTAGACTGAGGGCTGCAGCTGTGGTCATTTCAGACAGATGATTCTTGTAAACAGACTACGTGAACTTAGGGTATCAATAAATACAGTACAGTACCATAAATGTATTTTCTCTTCCTTATGATTTTCTTAATAAGCTTTTCTTTCCTCTAGCTTACTTTATTGTAAAAATACAGCATATAGTACATATAACATACAAAATATGTGTTAACCGACCGTTGATGTTATCGGTAAGGCTTCCCATCAACAGGAAGGCATTAGTGGTTAAATTTTCGGGGAGTTAAAACTTATACATGGATTTTCAACTGTGCAGGGGGTCAGCACCCCTAACCCCCACATTGTTCAGGGGTCAGCTGTGTTCTGTGGTGTGGATGTACAATTTGTTTACCCACTTAGCTGTAGATGGACATTTGAGTTGTTCCAGTTCCTTGCACATTTGTGTACAAGCCTTTGTGCATGACAGTGAACATATGTACAAGCCTTTGTGTGTGCATGACAGTGAACATATGTACAAGCCTTTGTGTGTGCATGACAGTGAACATATGTACAAGCCTTTGTGCATGACAGTGAACATATGTACAAGCCTTTGTGTGTGCATGACAGTGAATATATGTCCAGCCTTTTCTCTTGGGAAAATACTTAGAAGTGGAAGGGCTGGTTCATATGGTAGGGATGTGTTTCACTTTTAAAGAAACTGCCAAAGTGCTTTCCAAATTGGTTGCACCATTTTACATTCTCAAGCCATGTATGAGAATTCAGTTCTTCCATGTCCTTGCCAACTCTTGATATGATCTTTTTTTTTTTTTAATTTTAGCTAATCTAGTAGGTATGTAGTGGTATCTCGTGGTGATTTTAGTTTGCATTTCTCAAATGGGTAATAATGTGAAACATCTTTTCGTAGATGTATTTGCCATCCGTGTATCTTCTTTGGTAAAGTGTCTGTTCACATCCTTTGCCCATTTTTGTGTTGAATTGTTTGCATTCTTATTGTTGAATTTTAAGAGTTGTTTATATATTCCAGACACAAGTCCTTTGTCAGACTTTGTAAATATGTTTTCTGAGTCAGTGGCTTGTCTTTTCATTCTTTTAACAATGTCTTTCAAAGAGTAGAAGTTGTAATTTTTGGGCCAGGCATGGTGGCTCACGCCTGTAATCCCAGCACTTTGGGAGGCCAAGGTGGGTGGATCATGAGGTCAGGCAGTTGAGACCATCCTGGCTGACACAGTGACACCCCATCTCTACTAAAAATACAAAAAATTAGCCAGGCATGGTGGTGGGCGCCTGTAGTCCCAGCTACTCAGGAGGCTGAGGCAGGAGAATGGCATGAACCCGGGAGGCAGAGCTTGCAGTGAGCCGAGATTGTGCCACTGCACTCCAGCCTGGGAGACAGAGTGAAACTCCGTCTCAAAACAAAACAAAACAAACAAAGTTGTAATTTTTGATGAAATTCAATTTATCTATTTTCCTTTTATGGACATGCTTTTTTAGATTTAAAATTTTTTTAAATTATTGTGGGTACATAGTAAGTACGTATATTTATGGATTATGTGAGATATTTGCATATAGGCATGCAGTGCATGATAATCACATCAGGGTAAATGGGGTATCCGTCACTTCACCTCAAGCATTTATCCTTTGTGTTACAAACAATACAACTATATTCTTTTAGTTATTTTTAAGTGTAGAGTTAAACTAATTTTGACTATAGTCACCCTGTTGTGCCAGCAAATTCTAGGTCTTATTCATTCTTTGTAACTATATATATCTAGATATATATCTATATATAGATATAGATAGATAGATAGATCTAGATAGATATAGATATATATATATATATATTTTTTTTTTTAAACCCATTAACCTTCCCTACTTCCCTCCCACCACCCACTACTCTTCCCAGCCTCTGGTAACCATCCTTTTATTCTCTATCTCCATGAGGTCAATTGTTTGAATGTTTAGCTCCCACAAATAAGCGAGAACATGTGAAGTTTGTCTTTCTGTGTCTGGCTTATTTCACTTAACATAATGACCCCCCAGTGCCGTCTATGTTGTTGCAAATGCCAGGATCTCATTCATACACTTCATTGTGTGTATGTACCACATTTCTTTATTCATTCATGTGATGATAGACATTTAGATTGTTTCCAAATCTTGGCTATTGTGAATAGTGCTGCAGTGAATACGTGAGTGCAGGCAACTCTTTGATATACTGATTTCCTTTCTTTTGAGCATATACCCAGGAGAGGGATTGCTGGATCATACAGTGGCTCTATTTTTAGTTTTTTGAGGAACCTCCAAACTGTTCTCCATAGTGGTTGTACTAATTTACATTCCCACCGACATTGTACAGGGGTTCCCTTTTCTTCACATCTTCACCAGCATTTGTTATGGACTGATTTTTTGGATAAAAGCCATTTTAACTGGAATGAGAAAAATTGTATGTTTTATTTGCATTTCTCTGATGATCAGTGATGTTGAGCACCTTTTCATGTGCCTGTTTGCTATTTGTCTTCTTTTGAGAAGTGTCTGTTCAGATCTTTTGCCCACATTTAATCGGATTATTCTATTTTTCCTAGAGTTGTTTGAGCTCTGTATATGTTCTGGTTATTAATCCCTTGTCAGATGGGTAATTTACAAATATTTTCTCCCATTCTGTGGGTTGTCTCTTCACTTTGTTGATAGTTTCCTTTGCTGTACAGAAGCTTTTTAACTTGATGTGATCCCGTCTGCCCATTTTTGCTTTGGTTGCCTGTGCTTGTGGGGTCTTACTCAAGAAATCGTTGCCCAGTCCAATGTCCTAGAGAATTTCCCCAATGTTTTCTTTCAGTAGTTTCATAGTTTGAAGTCTTAAATGTAAGTCTTTAATCCATTTTGATTTGATTTTTGCATATGGTGAAAGATAGGGGTCTAATTTCATTCTTTTGCATATGGATATCCAGTTTTCCCAACACCATTTATTGAAGAGACCATCTCTTCCCCAATGTAAGTTCTTGGCATGTTTGTCAAAAATGAGTTCACTGTAGATATATTGATTTATCTATGGGTTCTCTATTCTGTTCCACGGATCTATGTGTCTGTTTTTATGCAAGTACCATGCTGTTTTGATTGCTATAGCTCTGTAGTCTAAGTCAGGTAATGTGATTCCTCCAATTTTGTTCCTCTTGCTTAGGATAGCTGGGGCTATTCTGGTTCTTCTGTGGTTTCATATAAATTTTAGGGTTGTGTTTTCTATTTTTTTTTTTTTTTTTGAGGCAGAGTCTCGCTCTGTCATCCAGGCTGGAGTGCAGTCGCGCGTTCTCGGCTCACTGCAACCTCTGCCTCCAGGGTTCGAGTGATTCTCCTGCCTCAGCTTGCTGAGCAGCTGGGACTACAGGTGCGCACCACCATACCCAGCTAATTTTGTATTTTTAATGGAGAGGGGGTTTCACCATATTGGCCAGGGCTGGTCTCAAACTCCTGACCTCATGATCCACCTGCCTTGGCCTCCCAAAGTGCTGGGATTACAGGCATGAGCCACTGCACCCAGCCTGTGTTTTCTGTTTTTGTGAAGAATGCCATTGGTATTTTGATAGGGATTGCATTAAATCTATAGATTGCTTTGGGTAGTATAGATATTTTAACAATAGTCGTTCTTCGAATCCGTGAACCTGGAATATCTTTCCATTTTTTTGGTGCCTTCTTTAATTTCTTGCATCAGTGTTTTATAGTTTTCATCATAGAGATCTTTCACTCCTTTGGTTGAGTTAATTCCTTGGTAATTTTATTTTAGTTATCACTGTTGTAAATGAGATTACTCTTCTTTAATTTCTTGCATCAGTGTTTTATAGTTTTCATCGTAGAGATCTTTCACTCCTTTGGTTGAGTTAATTCCTAGGCATTTTATTTTAGTTATCACTATTGTAAATGAGATTACTCTTCTTTAATTTCTTGCATCAGTGTTTTATAGTTTTCATTGTAGAGATCTTTCACTCTTTTATTTTAGTTAATTCCTAGATATTTTATTTTATTTGTAGCTATTGTAAATGAGATTACTTTCTTGATTTCTTTTTCAAATTGTTCACTGTTGGCATATAGAAATGCTACTGATGGCCGGACATAGTGGCTCACATCTATAATCCCAGCACTTTGGGAGGGCGAGGTGGGTGGATCATGAGGTCAGGAGATCGAGACCCATCCTGGTTAACATAGCGAAACCCCGTCTCTACTTAAAATATACAAAATTAGCCAGGCGTGGTGGCACATGCCTGTAATCCCAGCTACTTGGGAGGCTGAGGCAGGAGAATTGCTTGAACCCGGGAAGCAGAGGTTGCAGTGAGCCAAGATCATGCCACTGCACTCCAGCCTGGGTGACAGGGTGAGACTCCATCTCAAAAAAAAAAAAAAAGAAAAAGAAATGCTACTGACTTTTGTATGTTGATTTTGTATCCTGAAACTTTGCTGAGTTTGTTTATCAGGTCTAATAGTTGTTTGGTGGAGTCTTTAGGTTTTTTTAAAATATAAGATTATATCATCTGCAAACATGGAGAATTTGACTTCTTCCTTTCCAATTTGGATGCCCTTTATTTCTCTTGCCTGATTGCTTTAGCTAGGACTTTCAGTACAATGTTGAATAACAGTGGTGACAGTAGGCATGCTTGTCATGTTCCCAATCTCAGAGGAAAGGCTTTCAGTTTTTCTTCATTCAATATGATACTAATTGTGGATCTTTTGTATATGGCTTTTATTATGTTAAGGGATGTTCCTTCTATACCTTGCTTTTTAGGATTTTTAATCATGAAGAGATGTTGAATGTTATCAAATGCTTTTTCAGCATGAATTGAATTGATCATATGGTTTTTGTGTCTATTCTGTTGACATGATGTATCACATTAATTGATTTGCATATGTTGAACTATCCTTGCATCCCTGGAATAAATCCCACTTGGTCGTGATGAATGATCTTTTTAATGTGTTGTTGAATTCGGTTTGCTAGTACTTTGTTGAGGATTTCAGTGGTTACAGTGATATTGGCCTATAGTTTTAATTTTTTTATGTGTCTTTGTCTGGTTTTGGTATCAGGGTAAAATTGGTCTTGTAGAGTGAGTTTGGAAGTATTCCTTCCTCCTCTATTTTTTGGAATAATTTGGGTAGGATTGGTATTAGTTCTTTAAATGTTTGGTAGATTTCAGCAGTGAAGCCATTGGGTCCCAGGCTTTTCTTTGCTAGGAGACTTTGTATTATGACTTTGACCCTGTTACTTGTTATTGATCTATTTAGGTTTTGGATTTTTTCATGGTTCAGTCTTGGTAGGCTGTATGTGTCTAGGAATTTTGATTTTTTTTCCTAGATTTTCTAGATCTCTTCCCCTAGATTTATTTCTAATTTTTCTAAATTTTTCCCTTAGATTTTCCAATTTATTGGTGTATACTTGCTCATACTAGCCACTAATTTCTTTGAATTTCTCCAGTATCAGTTGTAATGTCTCTCTTTTCATCCCTGATTTTATTTGGGTGTTCTCTCTTTTTTTGTTAGTCTGGCTAAAAGTTTATCAATTTTGTTTATCTTTTCAAAGAACCAACTTTTTGTTTCATTGATCTTTTGTATTTTCTTTATGTTGAATTCATTTATTTCTGCTCTGATTTTTGTTATTTATTTTCTTCTACTAATTTTGGGTTTGTTGCTTTTCTAGTTGCTTAAGATGCATTGTTAGGTTGTTTATTTGAAGGTTTTCTTCTTTTTTGATGTAGACACTTATAACTATTTAAAACTTCCTTCTTAGTACTGTTTTTGCTATATCCTATAGGTTTTGGTATGTTGTGTTTCCATTATCATTTGTTTCAAGAAATGTTTTAAGTTCCTTCTTACTTTCTTCATTGACCCACTTGTCATTCAGGAGCATATTGTTAAATTACCATTGTTTGTATAGTTTCCAAAATTCCTCTTATTGATTTCTAGTTTTAGTCCATTAAATAAAACTAGATATTTTAGTAGTCAGAGGAGATGCTTGATATTATTTCAGGTGTTTTTTTTTTTAATGTTGTAAGACTTGTTTTGTGACCTAACAAATGATCTGTCCTTGAGGATGATCCATGTGCTGCGGAAAAGAATGTGTACTCCGCAGCCAATGGAGGAAATATTTTGTAAATATCTATTAGGTCCATTTGGTCTGTAGCACAGATTAAGTCCAATGTTTCTTGTTGATTTTCTGTCTGGAAAATCTGTTCAGTGCTGAAAATTGAAGGTGTTGAAGAGGGTGTTGAAGTCTCCAGATGTTATTATATTGAGGGTCTATCTCTTTAGCTTTAATAATATTTTGCTTTATATATCTGGGTGCTACAATATTGGGTGCATATATATTTATGACTGTTATATTCTCTTGAGTTGACCTTTTTATCATCATATGGTGACCTTCTTTGTCTCATAATTTTTTTCTTTAAATCTATTTCATCTGAGATAGACCCTCAATATAAGTATAGCTACTCCTGCTCTTTTCTGGTTCCATTGGCATGGAGTATGTTTTTCCACTGCTTTATTTTAAGCCTGTTTCTTTAGAAGCCAGGTGTGTTTCTTGTAGGCAACAGATCATTGGGTCTTGTTTTTTAATCCATTCAGCCACTCTATGTCTTTTGATTGGAGAATTTAATCCACTTACATTTAATGTTACTATTGATAAATAAGGACTTACTCCTGCCATTTTGTTATTTGTTTTCTGGTTGTATTTTGGTATTCTCCTCTTCCTTTCCTTCCTTCATGTCTTCCTTTTAGTGAAGGTGATTTTCTCTGGCAATATGATTTGATTTCTTGCTTTTTATGGTTTGTGTATTCATTGTATATTTTTTATTTGAGGTTACCACCAGGCTTACAAATATTATCTTATTACCCATTATTTTAAGCTAATAACAACTTAATACTATTTGCATAAACAAACATGCAAGCAAAAAGAAAACTAATAAAAACTCTATACCTTAACTTTGTCCCCCACTTTTTAACTTTTTGTTGTTTCTATTTATATCTTATTGTACTATCTGTTGAAAAGTTATTATAGTTATTCTTTTTGATTGGTTCATTGTTCAGTCTTTCACTTAAGAGTAGTTTACACACCACAGTTACAGCATTATAATACTTTGTGTTTTTCTGTGTACTCATATTAGCAGTGAGTTTTGTACCTTCAGGTGATTTCTTTTTGCTCATTAATATCCCTTTCTTTCTGATTAAAGTACTCTCTTTAGCATTTCTTGTAGGACAGGTCTGGTGTTGATAATATCCCTCAGCTTTTGTTTGTCTGGGAAAGTCTTTATCTCTCCTTCATGTTTGAAGGATATTTTCATTGGATATACTATTCTAGTGTAAAAGTTTTTTCCTTCAGCACGTTACATATGTCATGCCATCCTCTCCTAGGCATGAAAGACTGACCTGTAAAGTTTCTACCGAAAAGTCTGCTGCCAGACATATTGCAGCTCCATTGTGTTATTTGTTTCTTTTCTCTTGCTGCTTGTAGGGTCCTTTCTTTATCCTTGACCTTCAGGAGTTTGATTATTAAATGCCTTGAGGTAGTCTTCTTTGGGTTAAATCTGCTTGGTGTTCTATAACCTCTTTATTCTTGGATATTGATAGCTTTCTCTAGGTTTGGGAAGTTATTATCCCTTTGAATAAATTTTCTACCCCTATCTCTCTACCTCCTTTTTAGGGCCAATAACTCTTAGATTTGCCCTTTTGAGGTGATTTTCTAGATATTGTAGGCATGCTTCATTATTGTTTATTCTTTTTTATTTTGTCTTCTCTGACTATGTATTTTCAAATAGCCTTTCTTCAAGCTCACTAATTCTTCTGCTTGATCAATTCTGCTATTAAAAAGTTCTGATTCATTCTTTAGTATGTCAACTGCATTTTTCAGCTCCAGAATTTCTGCTTCTTTTTAATTATTTTAATCTCTTTGTTAATTTTTTTAAATAGAATTCCGAATACCTTCTGTGTTATCTTGAATTTCTCTGAGTTTCCTCAGAACAACTACTTTGAATTCTCTGACTGAAAGGTCACATATCTCTGTTTCTCCAGGATTGGTCCCTGGTGCCTCATTTAGTTCATTTGGTAAGGTCATGTTTTCCAGGATGGTCTTGATGCTTATGGATGTTCATCTGTGTCTGGGCATTGCAGAGATAGGTATTTGTCATATAGTCTTTGCAGTCTATGTTTGTTCGTACCTGTCCTTCTTGGAAAGGCTTTCCAGGTAGTCAGTAGGACTTGAGTGTTGCGATCTAAGCTGCATCTGCATTCCACTTGGCTGGGGAGGCCTCACAATCATGGCAGAAGGCAAGGAGGACCAAGCTTACGTGGATGGCGACAGGCAAAGAGAGAATGAGAGAGAAGCGAAATCGGAAACCCCATGTAAAACCATCAGATCTTGTGAGACTTATTCACTACCATGAGAACAGTATGGGGGAAACTGCCCTCATGATTCAGTTATCTCCCACTGGGTCCTTCCCACAACACGTGGGAATTATGGGAGTACAATTCAAGATGAGATTTGGGTAGGGACACAGCCAAACCATATCAGCCACCTTGCTCCCCACTCCCCGCCCATGGATGTGGTTTTGATGTTGTATCTAAGAAATCTTTGGCTAACCCAGTTCACAAAAGTTTTCCTCCTGTTTTCTTCTAAAAAGTGTATAGTTTTGGGTTTTACATACAGATCTACAATCCATTTTTTAGTTAATTTTCATCTACGATCTGGATTATTATCTTAATCAGCTCAGGCTGCCATAACAAAATGCCAGAGGCTAGGTGGCTTAAACAACAGAATTTATTTTCTCACAATTCTGGAAGCTGGAAAGTCTTAGATCAAGACCTGGCAGGGCTTGCTTTCTGATGTGGCTCTTCCTGGCTTGCAGACACCCACCTTTTCTCTGAACCCTGATATGGCAGAGACAGAGGGAGAGAGAGCAGGCTCTGTGGTGTCTCTTATTATAAAGACACTGATCCCAGTAGAGCCCCACCCTCACGTGAAATCTAATCATCTCCCAGAGGCCCCATTTCCACAATACCTCAAATAGGGGGTTAGGGCTTCAACCAGTGCCTGTCACAGTCCTGGAAGACAGAATCTCCAGTGCTGTAATTCTGAAATTTGAAATCCCTAAAGATCAAAATCCCCAAATCTAAAATTCCTAGCATCTAACTGAATCCCCAAACTATAATGATGGATTTGGAATTAGGTGCCATCAAGTCTTCTGTAAGTGAATTTCAAGTTGTTACCAATAAAGTTTGTTTTTTCCATTCAGTCCAATGCATTTGGTGCAAAATCCAGATGAGTGGCTTGGCCACGTGATATGGCAGTGACAGAAACTTCCGTTTAAAAATGAGTTGAGTCTCTTGCCTACGATGGCGAGTCTCTTGCCTGTGTTGGCGTTCCTGCTGATGACACTGCCTGCGTTGGCGTTCCTCCCAGCTGATCACACACTGAGAGCTTTTAGGGAATCATGGCCACATTTGCCCAAAGAAACCAGCAAAGTGACTGACTGCTTCAAAATAATTGTGTGTATAGTAGGATAAGAAGACACTTACACAACAGTGTTCTGTTCCATCACCAGTATGGTTTGTATTAAACCTGGGGTCTGTACAAGAGGGCATGCAGAATGCATATCCACGTACCCAGAACAACACAGAAGCACAGCATGGAAGACGGGAAAATGTAAGGAGAAGGCTTATCCTGGTGTGTGTCAAATCACAGAGGAGTTTCAAAAAGAGCAGTGCCGCAGAGAAGATGAATGTGAGCTCATTCTCCAAGGAAGCCATGTCTTAAAAGAAAGCGGTTATCCATTGTGATGCAAACCTTCAAAATACACTTAATGATTGTGAAAGTCAGCCAGCTCTTAGGGACTGTTTCTGTGCAATTGCCCGTAATATACTCCTGTGGTATACTTTTTCATAAATCAGATTTTCTGTTTAGTTTTTTATTGTTTGTAATTTTTTCTATTTTTGTTTGTTTTTTCTATTTTAAATTGTCAGCATTATGTTTTACAATCACTATGCTTGTGTTTCACCTTTGCATCATTTCTTTTACAGAGCTGTAATTCATTTATGCATCTTTTTGCAAATTCGACTCCACAAAGGTGCACTATCAACAATGTTGACTTTGTAAGCATTGTGCATGTCCGTAAAAACGTTGAAACTTCCTTAGTAAATGAAAAGATGTCCTTTTTGTACATCTGCATTTATGAAAGATGAAATTTCTTGAGATCTTGGCTTTTGGGGTGAATGTGTATGTGGTGGTAACCATCTTTTTTTTTTTTTTTTTTTTTAGTTCCAGAATACATGTGCAGAATGGGGGGTACATTTGTTACATAGGCAAACCTGTGCCATGGTGGTTTGCTGCACCCATCAACCCACCACCTAGGTATTAAGCCCTGCATGCATTAGCTATTTTTCCTGATGCCCTCCCTTCCCCCACCTCCACAACAGGCCGTAGTGTGTGTTGTTCCCCCCGTGTCCATATGTTCTCATTGTTCAGCTCCCACTTATGAGTGAGAACATGCAGTGTTTGGGTTTCTGTTCCTGTTTTGGTTTGCTGAGGATAATGGCTTCCACCTCCATCTATGTCCCTGCAAAGTACATGATCTCATTCATTTTTATGACTACATAATATTCCATGGTATACCACATTTTCTTTATCCAGTCTATCATTGATGGGCATTTGGGTTGATTACATGTCTTTGCTATTGTGAATGGTGCTGCAGTGAACATACGCGTGCATGTACCTTTATAATAGAATGATCTGTATTCCTTTGGGTATGTACCAGTAGTAGGATTGCTGGGTCAAATGGCATTTCTGGTTGTAGATCCTTGAGGAATCACCACACTGTCTTACACAATGGTTGGACTAATTTACATTCCCACCAACAGTGTAAAAGCATCCCTACTTCTCCACAGCCTTGCCAGCATCTGTTGTTTCTTGATTTTTAAAAAATCGCCATTCTGACTGGCTTGAGGTGGTATCTCATTGTGGTTTTGGTTTTCAATTCTCTGATGATCAGTGATGTTGAGCTTTTTATCATATGTTTGTTGCTGCCTAAATGTCTTCTTTTGAGAAGTGTCTGTTCATGTCCTTTGCCCACTTTTTGATGGGTTGTTTGTTTTTTCTTGTAAAGTTAAGTTCCTTGTAGATTCCAGATATTAGACCTTTGTCAGATGGACAGATTGCAAAAATTTTCCCCCATTCCATAGCTTGTCTGTTCACTCTGATGGTGTAGTTTCTTTTGCTGTGCAGAAGCTCTTTAGTTTAATTAGGTCCCATTTGTCAATTTTGCTTTTGTTGTAATTGCTTTTGATGTTTTTGTCATGTAATATTTTCCCATGCCTATGTCCCGAATGGTATTGCCTAGAGTTTCTTGTAGGGTTTTTGTAGTTTTGGGTTTTACGTTTAAGTCTTTAATCCATCTTGAGTTAATTTTTGTATAAGGTGTAAAGAAGGGCTCCAGTTTCAGTTTTCTGCATATGGCTAGCCAGTTTTCCCTGCACCATTTATTAAACAGGGAATCCTTTCCCCATTACTTGTTTTTGTCAGGTTTGTCGAAGCTCTGTTTGCAGACAACATGATCCTATATTTAGAAAACTTCATCATCTTAGCCCAAAAGCTCCTTAAGCTGATAAGCAACTTCAGCAAAGTCTCAGGATACAAAATCAATGTGCAAAAATCACAAGCATTCCTATACACCAACAGTAGACAAGCAGAGAGCTAAATCATGAATGAACTTCCATTCACAATTGCTACAAAGAGAATAAAATACCTAGGAATACAGCTAACAAGGGAGGTGAAGGACCTCTTCAAGGAGAACTACAAACCACTGCTCAAGGAAATAAGAGAGGACACAAACAAATGGAAAAATATTCCATGCTCATGGATAGGAAGAATCAATATCGTGAAAATGGCCATACTGCCCAAAGTAACTTATAGATTCAATGCTATTCCCATTAAATTACCATTGACATTCCTCACAGAATTAGAAAAAACTACTTTAAAATTCATGTAGAACTGAAAAAGAGCCTGTATAACCAAGACAGTCCTAAGCAAAAAGAACAAAGCTGGAGACATCACACTCCCTGACTTCAAACTATACTACAAGTCTACAGTAACCAAAACAGCATGGTACTGGTACAAAAACAGACACATAGGCCAACAGAACAGAATAGAGATCTCAGAAATAAAACCACACATATACAACCATCATGGTTTTTGATGGATCTTGTCCAAAGACTTAGGTTGTCCAACAGAATATTTCAGATGACAGGAGCTATTTCTTTATGAATACGGTTCATCTGCTCATTAACCGTTATACCCATGTGACTGTCATTAGTGTACTTGAGTGTTTATGCTTGTAAAAATGTGTGTGTTAGTATTGTCTGTTTTATTGTGTAAAGTGGCCTATGAAGCATGCTGTCATGTTTTTGTACATTTCTCAAATAAGTCTTCTTTTTAAAATTGTAAGCAAATGTCTTTCAAATCATTATTTATTTTTTCCTTTTTCTCGCTAACATTTGAGATAAAGAATTTTTTAAATTTTTATGGACACATAGTAGGTGTATATAATTATGGAGCACATGAGATATTTTGATAAAGGCATGCAAAGTGTAATAACTATATTAGGGTAAATGGGGTAAAGAATTTTTAAAATTATTTTTTCAAGAACTACATTTTTCAGGATTGTGATTTGGGGGATTTTAGACTTTAGGGATTTTGATCTTTCAGGATTTCAACATCCTGGATTATGGTGTTCGAGACTGTGTCAGCCCCACTCCAGGGCAGGAGAAAGGCACTCTGCCTCGTGGGGGTATGGTCAGGTTAGTGGGACAGGGAGGAGCGGGGGCAGCCAGCTGCACACCTCAGTCCAAGAGGAGAAAGGTGCTCTGCACCCCATGAGGGGTGCCAGGACGTCCACCTCTAATAGCGAGGTTGTGGGAGTAATACGCCCCAACATTACGGATTTCTTGTGATCGCACCATGTAATGAAATGCTTTCTGAATTTTGAAAATGTAATTTTGATCTGCAGTAAAACTGAAACCTTAGTATAAGGATCACTGGCTTCTAACGTTGGTGCTGTTTATGATGACGGCATCAACTATTCCATTAAGTGAGTTCACAGTGATCAGGGTTCCTTGATGAGCTTTGCTTTCCGCATCAAATCTGCTTCACCAGCTTTCAAGTTCTATTCCATAACATCCTGTGTCACGCGGAAAAGCGGGGGAAGAAAAAGACCTTCTTCCATTTAGATTTACTTTTTACATTTGGAGAAGATGAATATTCCATTGATGGCCTCTTACAGGTACCAGTGGTTAAAGCGTGGGGAAGCGAATTTGTTTTCCTGCTTTTAAAGCGATTTCCTTACTTCCAGCCCAGCTTGTGGGTATAGCCTGTCCTCTCCCAACACACCTGGCATTGCACGGGAGCCTCCAGCCAGCAGCGTATGGTGGGGGCGGAGGGGCGTGGAGGTGCCTGCCAGATGTTGACGATTACCAAGGAACAGAGGCTGCTCTGTGGCCACGGGGTCGGGCTGCCGCAGAGCAGCTATTTCCTGTCTGCACCGGCGGCAGCAAGCCCAAACTGTGGGCTGCAGCCGAGTTCACGGGCACAAAGTCACCTTTGTGAGTGTCTGGTGCAGCTTCCTGGCTGGGAAGCGGAGAGGGTCCCCCACGTTGAAAGGGTGTGCAGAGTCCCTCGCCCTGAGCTCCTGGCCCGGTGTCAGGTTTCTGAGCAGGGCTCCTGAAGACAGCATGAGGGCTTTGATCCCAGGCACTCAGCACTTGGAGTGCACAGAGAACAGGCCCGGACCCTCCTGAGGAGCCCTCCTGGGTCCTCCCATCACCAGAGTTCAGAGATTCTGGGATGTGCCACTTCTTCAGGGACACACACTTTCCTGGAATACACGATGATTTTTAATGCTTTTCTTAAAGAATGCCAGCTGTCTCACGGGGCAGGGAAATGGAAAACCTCGTAAGGCCTCTCTTCTTCTTAACTGGGAAGTAAAAATTCCATATTCATTGTGGAAGCTTTTGGCCTCCGATCAACCCTGGGCTCCTGATTTTGGTTTTCCTCTTTGGAGATTCAGTCCCGCGTATTAGGGCAGTGGGAGGCGTGGGGTCGCCGCAGCCTCAGGACCTGCTGAGCACGGGCTTCTGCTGCTTTTGATTCTTGGGTAGCAGGAGTCACGTGAAAACGGTGCCACTAAACACCAAGGATGTAATTGAAGTGGAGGAGGCACAGTTTGAACCAGAAATTCATGTTCCGAATCGAGGGGTAACATGAAGACCCAGTCATAACAAATAAATCAGGTAGGTCCTCTTAGATAGAATTTTCCTTTAGCAAGTTAGTGGGAATTAACGTGTGAAGTTCAAAGAAGAGATCTCATTTAAACCATTTCTCAGCTGTTACATTAACAGAAATCACTTCCAACTATTTTAATAAGGTAACTCAGCCACCAAGTCAAGTTTTATGTTCATTGTCTGAGTCACATTTGTGATGTGGGAAGTGGCATATTTTGATTTGACTTTTGATGTGTCTGTTTGACATGCCTGATGGGATAGTCACCACATACAACGTTAAATCAGAGCTGTGTAAAATTAACACTGCTAATTCTAAACAAACCGAAAGGTGAAAGTTGTCTATGCCAGTGGCCTGGGGTGGTGCCTGCCTGAAAGCGCCCCTGTCTGAGACAGGCCCTCTTTGTACCTTCTGTCCCTTCCCCAGGGGGCTGCATCTCCTGATTCCAGGGAGGCCCAAAGGGGAGGCATGGGCAGAACCGCCACCCGGCTTCCCAGGTTGCCTTGGGCCCTTCTGGAAACTCGAGGGAGGGGGTCCCAGCAGGGCCACGAAGGGGACTCAGAGGTCCTGGCAGCTTGAAGGAAGTGGACAGGGCTGAGATGCATGCTCCTGCTCTAGCTACCCGGGGTGGGCCGCACTCACCAAGAAGGGAAGGCAGACAGTGGTGTGACGCGGACCCCTGCTGCCCTGCACGTCTCCTGGGGGGATCCCTGCTTCCCCGCCGTCCCAGCTCAGGCCCCCATAAAGGAACACTACAGACAGGGCAGCTTAAACAACAGACATTTGTGTTCTTAAAGTTCTTGGGTCTGGAGGTCCAAGCTCAGGCTGCTGGCAGGGTGGGTTCCTCCTCATGCCTCTCTGTGGCTTGCAGATGGCACCCTTTCCCTGCACGACCCTGTAGCCTCTCCCTGTGTGCTCACATGGCCTCTCCCCTGCATAATCACGTGGTCTCTCCCTGCATCCTCCTGTGGCCTCTCCCTGCGTCCTCCTGTGGCCTCTCCCCTGCATAATCACGTGGTCTCTCCCTGCATCCTCCTGTGGCCTCTCCCTGCGTCCTCCTGTGGCCTCTCCCTGTGTGCTCACATGGCCTCTCCCCTGCATAATCACGTGGCCTCTCCCTGCGTCCTTCTGTGGCCTCTCCCCGTGTGCTCACGTGGCCTCTCCCCCACATCCTCACATGGCCTCTCCCCCGTGTGCTCACGTGGCCTCTCCCCTGCGTGATCATATGGCCTCTCTCCTGTGTGCTCACGTGGCCTCTCCCCTCCCCCACGTCCTCACGTGGCCTCTCCCCTGCGTGATCATATGGCCTCTCTTCTGTGTGCTCATGTGGCCTCTCCCTGTGTGCTCACTGCTGGTGTCTCTTCCTCTTCTTATAAGGACAACAGTCCAGGGCCCCACCTTTGGGACTCACGTAACCTTAGCTACCTCCTTAAAAGCCCATCTCCAAATACAGTCACATTGGGAGTTAGGGCTTCAACCCGTTAATCTGAGGCACACAGTTCAGTCCTCAGCACTTGGACACCCTCCTCCGCCCCGGGGCCCCTGCCCTGCCTGGTGCCCCTGCCCGCTCTAGGGCTGCATAACGGGAGCCGCTGCCCCCACGGAGCATCTGCTGTGCGACTGTTCCTGGCGGCGCCCATCCTGTCACCATTGCTGAGCTGTTCCTTTCCTTCCCCCAGCATCTGAACGGCACCTGCCACAGGTCGGCAGGAATGAGAAGTGAGAAAAATGAGACCCACTCTTCGTAGTTTCTGATCTCATGGTTCTGTGTGGGGCTGGGAATGTGTGTCTCTAACGCGTGCCCGAGTGTTTAAAATGGACTCTGAGAATGTGTCACACTGAGTCCACGTGGAGGTCAGGCTTCTGGCGAAGTGTGCATGAAAAACTGCTTCCCCCCAGGATGGTAGAGTCATTTTGACAAAGTCTACCCAATTAAAAAAGGTTGTATTTTGAAATAATTTTAGACTCACATAAAAATTGCAGAACTAAAACATATATATATTTTGAGATGGAGTCTCGCTCTGTCGCCCAGACTGGAGTGCAATGGCGTGATCTCGGCTCACTGCAACCTCCGCCTTCTGGGTTCAAGCAATTCTCCTGCCCCAGCCTCCCGAGTAGCTGGGATTACAGCCACGTGCCATCATGCCTGGCTAATTTTCGTGTTTTTGTAGAGACCAGGTTTCAGCATGTTGGGCAGGCTGGTCTCGAACTCCTGGCCTCAGGTGATCCATCTGCCTCGGCCTCCCGAAGTGCTGGGATTACAGGTGTGAGCCACTGCGCCCAGCCAAAAAATTGCAGAAATATTAATAGCACAGAGAGTTCCTATGTACCCCCCATCTCCTCCACCCCCAGCTGCTAACATCTTATATAACCAGAGAACAAGGACCCAAACCAGAAACTCCACGTGGATACGATGTGGCAGCCACAGACCCCATGCAGTTCACTTATTCTTGGTGGAGGGAGTTCTGTGAGACGTCCCCATGTTTCCAGATCAACACGACAATCAGGACATCGAGGGTCCCATCACCCGGAGAAACTGCCTTTAGAGTCACATTTTCTCCTGACCTGTCCTAGTCTGTCCAGGCTGCTAGGACAAAAATACCATAAACTGGGTGGCTTATAAACTACAAACATCTGTTTCCACCGTTTTGGAAGCTGGAGTCCCAGATCAAGGCACCAGATTTGGTCTCTGTGAGGCCTGATTCCTGGTTCTCACCGTGTCCTCACGTGGTGGGAGGGACAAGGCTCTCTGTGAGGCCCTTTCGTGGGCTCTGATCCCATTCACGTGGCGGGAGGGAAGAGGATCTCCGTGAGGCCCTTTTGTGGGCTCATTTTCCAATTACATTACTGGTTTTGTTGTTGAATCTGAGCGTTTTCTTCTGGACATAAGACCTCCATTGGAGATAAAACTTGCAAGTACATTTGATCCTTGAATAACATGAGTGTGAACTGGGAGTCCACTTACACACGAGTTTTAAAAATAAATATATTGGAAAATGTTTTGGAGATTTATGACAATTTGAAAAAAGTCGCAGATGAACTGACACCCGGGACAGCAAGAACCCTCCTTCCTCGGCCCGCTCGGCCCATCACCACAGAGGTGAGAAGGATGGAGGCTCCTCCACCCGCTCGGCCCATCACCACAGAGGTGAGAAGGATGGAGGCTCCTCCACCCGCTTGGCCCATCACCATGGAGGTGAGAAGGATGGAGGCTCCTCCACCCGCTTGGCCCATCACCACGGAGGTGAGAAAGATGGAGGCTCCTCCACCCGCTCGGCCCATCACCACGGAGGTGAGAAGGTTGGAGGCCTTTGTGATGATCCACTTCCATTTAATGAATAGTCAATGTGTTTTCTCTTCCTTATGATTTTCTTAGTAACACTTTCTTTTCTCCAGCTTACTTCATTGTAAGAATACGGTATATAATACACAAAACGTACAGAATGTACAGGACAATGTTGATCACCTGTTTATGTTATTGGTAAGGCATCCGGTCAACAGTAGGCTCTCAGCCATGTCAACCTAAAGAAAGATGCTGAGGCAAAGTTAGTACATGTGGAGGGTTTATTTGGGCCACGTGTGAGGACGGCATCCTGGGGGACGTAGATTCAGGTGGCTCCGAACATATGCTCCAGTTAGCAGCAGTTACAGTGGGTTTGAAAGAAAGAAAGAAGGGGCAAGTTCCCACACTGGTTCATTAAAATAACATAAGCTATTGACTGGCTGTAGATGGTTCTTTGCATCACAGATTCCAGGAGCATGAAGATAATGGGTGAAGGTCACATTGTCTAACTTGTGTAACATTTCTTGTGATTTTTCAGCCAGCCTGGAAACAACAGGGAAGGAAAGGAAGACAAATGCCTTTAAACAGTTGGCCCCACATGGGTGCGGCGGGGGAGGCATGATGCAGGTCTCACCCTCGCAGCTCCGCTGGGGCTGGTGAATACCTCGCGTGGCGCCGACTCCTCTGAGCCACTTTTGTTTCTCAGTGCTTAAGTTTTGGGGGAGTCCAAGGTTATACGTGGATTTTCGGCTGCATGGGGAGTGGGTCACCCTAAACCCTGTATTGCTAAAGGGCCTACCTCATTTCCTCCTGATCTGTGGCTGGAACTAGGATCATGGATTTGGCGTTTTATCCAGGATCCCTGACTCTGACCCCCTGTAATTATTTCCTAAGTAACTAGAGCAATAAGAATATCTTTTAAAGTATTGAGCCTTTTGTCCTTGGTTTCTGAAGTAAATTCTGAAAGATAAAGCTGGAAGAGTCTTTTGTTTACAAGTTCCTTCAAACACACCTGAGTTTATGTTAATGAGGCATTTTTGGAACACCCCTAGATACCGCAGGATGAGGGGGGCTGGTTGCCAGGGGAACCAGCCATGTGCTCAGAGGGTTGGAACTTTGAGCCCCACCCCCAAACCTCCGGGGAGGGAAAGGGGTTGAGGCTTAGGGTGATCAGCAATGGCCCACGAGCTACGCAACCACACCTACATCATGAACTCGTACAGTAACCCAAAGGGACGAGCCTCGGGGACTTCCAGATGGCTGAACACATGCAGGGTCCTGGAGGGTGTTGGGCCCCAAGAGGACCTAGACCGTCTACACCACTTCCCCCATACCTTTCCCCGTCATCTCTTCATCTGTATCCTTGAATAACATTCTTTTTAATAAACTGGTAGGTGTAAGTAAGTGTTTCCCTGAATTCTGTGGGTCCCTCTAGAAAATTAACTGAATCCAAGGAAGAGGTTGTGGGAACCCCGATTTATAGCTGGAGGGTCAAACAGCCTGGGACTTCAGTTGGCATTGGAAGTTGAAGAGAAGGGGTCACGGGGACTGAGCCCTCACCTGGGGGGGTCTGAGGCTGTCTCCAGGTAGATGGTGTTGGGATTGAGTTAGAGGATGCCTGACTGGTGTCTACTCCAGAACTGATGGTTTGCTTGGTGTATGGAGAACAGACCCGCACATTGTGGTGGGAGAGCAGAGGAAAAACAGCCTTTTCTACGTGGGGGCTTCCCTTTTCATCCACGTAGAATTTTTCACAGAACAAAAGTTTCTAATTTTGATGAAGTCCAATTAATTGATATTTTTTGATGTATTTTTTTAATATGCTTTGAGTGTCAACACCCAAGACTACTTCACCTAACCCTAGGACATAAGGATTTTCTTCTAAAAGTTTTATAGTTTTACATTTTACATTTAGAGCTATGTCCTTGTAGGCTGAGTTAGTGTGAGGTTTAAATCAAGGGTTTTGTTTGTTCGTTTTGGCTTATGAATGCCCACATGTTTCTACACTGATTTTGCTGAAAATCCTTCTTCCACTGGTTGCTTCTGGGCCTTGTCAAAAAACCATCTGACCACAGAGTGTGGGTCTGTCTGTTCCTGGACTTTGTTCTAGTCCATTGACCTGTGTGTCTGTCCCTCCACCAGTAACATCATCTTGATGACCAGGTCTTAAAATTGGTTAATGTGTTTCCTCTAACTTGTTTTTGGCTATTCTAGTATTTCTGCCTCTGTATATAAATTTTAGAATCAGCTTGCCTATATTTACAAAGAATCTAGCTGAGATTTTCATAGCAAGTGAGTTAAACTTACAAATCAATTTGTATAGAGTTGACATCTTTACTATAGAGTTTTCCAATTCACTATTTGTCCCGTCCTCCACTGAAATTTTCCTCGATTTCCTTCATTCACATGTTGTAGTTTTTAGTGTACAAGTCCTGTACATTTGTTAGATTTATACCTAAGTATTTGTTTTAGGCAATTATACATGCTACTGTGTGTTTAATTTTGGTTTCTAATTGTCCACTGCTAACTTACAGAAACGTATACCTAAAAGTTACAGGACTGTTCAGACTCTATTTCGTCTTGGTATAATGCAACTTACAGCTCTGGCAGCTTGCGATTTTTGAGGAATTGATCCACTTGCTCTAAATTATCCAGTTTGTGTGTTTAGGGTTATTTGATAGTATTCTCTGTGATGCGTTTAGTATCTGTGAGGCCTGTAGTAATATCCCCTTTCATTTTAGGTATTAGTTATTTGGGTCCTCTCACTTTTTTATCAGTCTTGGTTTATTATCTATTTTATTAATCTCTTCAAAGAGCCAGCTCTTGGTTTGACTTTCCTCTATTGTTTTTCTGTTTTCAATTTCATTCATTTCTGCCTGATTGTTTCTTTTTTCTGCTTGCTTTGGGGTGTCATTTTGCTCTTCCTTTGTGGTTTTTCTAATGTGGAAGCTGAGTTTTTTGACCTCAGACCTCTCTTCTCTTTTAATGTAAGCATGTAGAGCCAGCAACTTCCCTTTACATACTACATCAGCCGCATTGTACAGGTTTTCAATGTACTTCCATTTTCATTTTGGTCAATACATTTTAGATTTCTTTTGAGACTTCCTCTTTGGCCCATGGATTATTGGGAAGTGGGTGGGGCTGCTGCTGATTGCTGGGGTTGTGGAGAAGACTCACCAGGCCCTTGACATGTGGGAGCAATGGCGTCTTCCTCCTTGTCTCTAGACTCAACTGGATTCGTACTGAGAAGGGCATTCTGAGAAACTTCACTCCCAGCTTCAACTGGTCCAACATAGCAAAATCAGATTTTTTAAAAAATAGAAGGAAGTAAATTAACTAAGAAAAATACAGAAAAATTTCCTAGAACCAAAACGTACGAGTGACCTGATTAGAAGGGCTCACCTGGTGTTGCGTGCAGGAAATGAGACCTGCATCCGGGTTCACGGTCGGGATGCTTCAGAGCCCAAGCACAGTCAGAGGGAGGAACACCAAGGAGCAGGAATCGAAGAGCCCGGAATTCCTCACTCACAGCAGCGGAATCCAGGAGACACCAGGACACTAGTTTCAGATTTCTCACAGAAAGGATTTTGAACTAAGAATTTTATGCCTCACCAAAGTGTCAATCACGTGCAGAGATATAACAACCTTTTCATATTCAGATTCAACATATCCATCTCCGATAAAACCTTCCTCGGGGCTTTGCTGGAGCCAGTCCCTAAAATTAGGAAGCAAACTGAGGAAGGTGTGAGATGGGACTCACAGACTCGCAGCCTGGGGGAGAAGCAGAAGGGACCCCAGGAGGAGGCAGGGGAGTTCAGCCCTGGGAGCCGGGAAAGGAAAGGCCACGCGTGGCTTGTTTTTATAGAAATAAAGGATTTTAGGTACAAACAGCACGTGCTTTTTTAAAATTACGGAATTACTCGGGGAGCAACGGAAAACACCTGATGCCCTCCACGTAACCAGAGGTGGCCCGGGTCGCATGGTGACCACCCACTGCCACCACCTGTGGGAACCTCCAGCCAAGCCCCAGGGCAGGAGGAGCTTGGGAAACGGAAAACAGGAGTGCACATCGGTCGGGATGGAGCGGAAATGCTGGGCACCAAACCCCGGTGATGAGAAGACAGAAACCGCAGGAAGTACTAGAGCGTACGTTTCCATGCTCGTGTGTGACATGGGCAGCGTGAAAACGAGGCTGTTCTGAGGCCTCGTTCCACCCCCCTCGGTCCCAGACTGGAATCAGCCGGCTTCTCCTCTCGGGCGTCACCGTCCTGCCCTGCGTCCAGTGCCTGAACACCTCCATTTCACAGATTCTGTGTGATTTTCTAGTTGTCTGAGGAGGGAGAGTGGTCCAGCTCTTTCACGGTGACCAGAAGTGGGAGTCACCAGCGGTGGGTTTCGAGTTGCACCCCAGACCCCCCGGAGAGCCTGAGGATTGGGGCGTTGCTCGCTCCCCACTGTAGCTGCGTTCCAGATACCCATGAGTGCTTTTAAACAAAGAAAAGTTTTTTTTTGTTGAAAATGTTAAGTACACCAAGGGGTAGAGACCACTGTCACATAACGGTACTCACCCCCCTCCCAACACTGAGCACCCGGAGTCTTTCGAAGCAACCCCAGACCCGACCTCAGTCACTCCTGAATACTCCGGTGGGTGGGGGGTGTTACTGTTCATGGGGTTCCATCCTCAAGCCGTTTTAAAGTCACGGATGCAAACACGGTCCGTGTCGGGGCGGCGCCGCAGCTGTCCTTATTCACGCAGGTTCCGACTTCGCGGCCTGTAAGCCCCTTTCCTCTTGCTTTCGGGCCTCCGTTCATGGGTGTCCTCGATCTTTCCTTCTAATAGAGAATACGTTTCCCAGTGTTCCTCTGCCTCCCTTTGTTCAGTGGGCCAGCGTTTGGCTTACGTTAAGTTTCTCCCCTGCCGTGGCCTTCGAGGTGGGCACTGCGGGTCAGCAGGACTGTCTTCCGGCCTCCCTGCCTGGGGCCACCTGGGGCCCTGACTCCCTGACGGTGGCCTCCGGCCCCTGGGAGGATGGAGTTCGGCTCTGTCCCGGGGCCCTCGTTCCCCATAAGTGGCCTCCAGCCCCTGGGAGGATGGAATCCGGCTCTGTCCCGGGGCCCTGACTCTCCATAGTGGCCTCTGGTCCCTGGGAGGATGGAGTTCGGCTCTGTCCCGGGGCCCTGACTCTCCATAGTGGCCTCTGGTCCCTGGGAGGATGGAGTCCGGCTCTGTCCCGGGGCCCTGACTCTCCATAGTGGCCTCTGGTCCCTGGGAGGATGGAGTCCGGCTCTGTCCCGGGGCCCTGACTCTCCATAGTGGCCTCTGGTCCCTGGGAGGATGGAGTCCGGCTCTGTCCCGGGGCCCTGACTCTCCATAGTGGCCTCTGGTCCCTGGGAGGATGGAGTCCGGCTCTGTCCCGGGGCCCTTGTTCCCCATAAGTGGCCTCCGGCCCCTGGGAGGATGGAGTCGGGCTCTGTCCTGGGGCCCTGTTTCCCCATAAGTGGCCTCTGGCCCCTGGGAGGATGGAGTCCGGCTCTGTCCCGGGGCCCTGACTCTCCATAGTGGCCTCTGGTCCCTGGGAGGATGGAGTCCGGCTCTGTCCCGGGGCCCTGACTCTCCATAGTGGCCTCTGGTCCCTGGGAGGATGGAGTCCGGCTCTGTCCCGGGGCCCTCGTTCCCCATAAGTGGCCTCCAGCCCCTGGGAGGATGGAATCCGGCTCTGTCCTGGGGCCCTGTTTCCCCATAAGTGGCCTCTGGTCCCTGGGAGGATGGAGTCCGGCTCTGTCCCGGGGCCCTGACTCTCCATAGTGGCCTCTGGTCCCTGGGAGGATGGAGTCTGGCTCTGTCCCGGGGCCCTCGTTCCCCATAAGTGGCCTCCGGCCCCTGGGAGGATGGAGTCGGGCTCTGTCCTGGGGCCCTGTTTCCCCATAAGTGGCCTCCAGCCCCTGGGAGGATGGAGTCCGGCTCTGTCCCGGGGCCCTCGTTCCCCATAAGTGGCCTCCAGCCCCTGGGAGGATGGAGTCCGGCTCTGTCCCGGGGCCCTGACTCTCCATAGTGGCCTCTGGTCCCTGGGAGGATGGAGTCTGGCTCTGTCCCGGGGCCCTCGTTCCCCATAAGTGGCCTCCGGCCCCTGGGAGGATGGAGTCGGGCTCTGTCCTGGGGCCCTGTTTCCCCATAAGTGGCCTCCGGCCCCTGGGAGGATGGAGTCCGGCTCTGTCCCGGGGCCCTCGTTCCCCATAGTGGCCTCTGGTCCCTGGGAGGATGGAGTCCGGCTCTGTCCCGGGGCCCTGACTCTCCATAGTGGCCTCTGGTCCCTGGGAGGATGGAGTCCGGCTCTGTCCCGGGGCCCTGACTCTCCATAGTGGCCTCTGGTCCCTGGGAGGATGGAGTCCGGCTCTGTCCCGGGGCCCTGACTCTCCATAGTGGCCTCTGGTCCCTGGGAGGATGGAGTCCGGCTCTGTCCCGGGGCCCTGACTCTCCATAGTGGCCTCTGGTCCCTGGGAGGATGGAGTTCGGCTCTGTCCCGGGGCCCTCGTTCCCCATAAGTGGCCTCCAGCCCCTGGGAGGATGGAGTCCGGCTCTGTCCCGGGGCCCTGACTCTCCATAGTGGCCTCTGGTCCCTGGGAGGATGGAGTCCGGCTCTGTCCCGGGGCCCTGACTCTCCATAGTGGCCTCTGGTCCCTGGGAGGATGGAGTCCGGCTCTGTCCCGGGGCCCTCGTTCCCCATAAGTGGCCTCCGGCCCCTGGGAGGATGGAGTCCGGCTCTGTCCCGGGGCCCTGACTCTCCATAGTGGCCTCTGGTCCCTGGGAGGATGGAGTCCGGCTCTGTCCCGGGGCCCTCGTTCCCCATAAGTGGCCTCCGGCCCCTGGGAGGATGGAGTCCGGCTCTGTCCCGGGGCCCTGACTCTCCATAGTGGCCTCTGGTCCCTGGGAGGATGGAGTCGGGCTCTGTCCTGGGGCCCTGGTTCCCCATAAGTGGCCTCCGGCCCCTGGGAGGATGGAGTCCGGCTCTGTCCCGGGGCCCTGACTCTCCATAGTGGCCTCCGGTCCCTGGGAGGATGGAGTCCGGCTCTGTCCTGGGGCCCTGGTTCCCCATAAGTGGCCTCCGGCCCCTGGGAGGATGGAGTCGGGCTCTGTCCCAGCCCCACGTTCTTTGCCTGCTTCCACCTGTGCCTGTCTGCGCCGTGCAGACACTGGTTCCCAGCCTGCCTGTGCCTCCTGCCGCTGTTCCAAGCTGTGGGGGGGACCCAGCTCACCCCCAGGGTCCAGTTCAGACTGGAAGGGAATGTGGCCCCCCACACCCTCAGCCTTGATGTGGGGCCAGGGACACCCGCTGTGGGGGGTGAATGTGCTGATTAGACCCTGGGTGGATCCCCACACACAAGCAGTCAGAGGGTCATTTACAGCCTGAGCTCACTCCGCAAATATGATCAGGATGGGAACAGGCAGCTGGCAGCCTCCTGCCTCACTCCTGTCCCTCACGAGGGGACGCAGCTCTGCCTGACCCCTTGGGGAGGCACCAAGTCCGCCCTGACTCCGCCCCGCCTGAATCTGCTGGCTGCTTTGCGGGCAGCTCCTGAGGGCAGCTGTGTTCTGCTGAGACTGAGCCACCTCTGGGCCCTGGGCCTCTGCTCGAGGCGGCCAGCGTTCAGCCAAGCTCGTCCTTCACCTCAGGGGGCCTGTGTGGTTGTCACGCACAGTGTCCAGGGTCAGCTTGTCAGCGCCGGCCACCCGGGCGGCCTCAGTCAGCACGCGTTCCCCAAACCTGTGGGGCCCACGCTTGGTGCTGAGGGTTGATGAGGAGCCAGGGAGGACCAGGAGAGTGGAAGTGGGACCTTCTGCCAGCTCCGTAGAGGACAGCCTGGAACCGGCTCAGACTGGAGGCAGGGAGGCCCAAGGGGCAGGAGAACTCTCCGAGGGGCAGAAACAGCACTGCAGTGGCAGTCGCCCATGGAGCGTGGAGTGCTGGTCCACGACACCCTCTCGACCCACGGTGAAACGCGCCCCATGGGGCAAGGGGCTGGGCTGCTTGCTGGTCAGTGGCAGGCGGGGTGGGAACACACAGGTACACGGGGCCCACCTGGGTCTCTGCCACTCTCTCCTGTCCACACGGGAGAGGAGTTGAATCCTAAGGCATCTCTTAGCAGCCCCAGCGCCATTGTGGGGCCACTGCCTGAGAGCCCCTGAGCTCCATCCCCTTTGGGTCACCTCTCTGGGACCCAGTCCGACTGTTCGTAAGATTCAAGGGTGCTGGCTGCTCTGTGCCCGCTCGTTTGACGCTTACAACTACACGCAGGTAACTTCTTAGCCGGCTCCGAACTCAGTGTGTGGTTCCCGCGGTGTAGGCTTCGGTTGCACCAGGTTCCCTCCTGTGTCCCAGGAGCAGGAAGAGGCTGAGTCCACCCCCACCCCACCCCGCCTGCCTCCACGACACCCAAGGACCAGGTGCCAGGTGAGAGCCGGACTCCAATCCTGCCCGGGCGTCATGTGCTGCTGGAAAAAGCTTTTCATCTCCTTTTCCATTCTCAGGAGCGCTGCTCCCCGGGAAGACCGTGAAAACCGGCCTGGTCTATATGAAAGACTGAAATGTTATCAGTTCCGTATCTCCGTGTTTCTTTTCCTTAAAAGTTTGTCCTTCATAGCTCAGTGATTTTACCTCGCTCTAATCAATTATCAATCATGAAATTGAAAAACCCACAGATGGTCACAGGTGTTTTCAATCTTCAGAGTCGTTATTTGCTTTGTGTCTACTCGTCCTCCTGTTAACAGACCACCAGGGCGTCTCCAGCTTTCATTGTGGGTTTGCCCTTTTCTCCTTTCGGTTCCTTTGGTCTCGGTACAGTGTCTGTGCTTCCATTTTCTGTCCTGTGTGAGCCCCAGGCCTGGGCTTGTGAGTGGGCGGTGGCCCCAAGGCTGTGCACATGGCCCTGTCCAGGCTGGCAGCCGCGGGAGCACACGAAGGCATCAGAGCTCCGTGCTGTGTGTGACACAGGGGCCCCCTCCTTCGGGGAAGCGTTCCAGAACTCTCCAGCCCCTTCCGCTCACAGCCCCAGGTCCTTCTGGCCCCTATGAGTGTGGTGTGGTCAGTACCGGGTCCTTCTGGCCCCTGTGGTGTGGTGTGGTCAGTACCGGGTCCTTCTGGCCCCTATGAGTGTGGTGTGGTCGGCACCAGGTCCTTCTAGCCCCTGTGGTGTGCTGTGGTCGGCACCAGGTCCTTCTAGCCCCTGTGGTGTGGTGTGGTCAGTACTGGGTCCTTCTATCCCCTGTGGTGTGGTGTGGTCAGTACCAGGTCCTTCTGGCCCCTGTGGTGTGGTGTGGTCAGTACCGGGTCCTTCTGGCCCCTATGAGTGTGGTGTGGTGGGCACCAGGTCCTTCTGGCCCATGGTGTGGTGTGTCGGCACCAGGTCCTTCTGGCCCGTGGTGTGGTGTGGTCAGTACCAGGTCCTTCTATCCCCTGTGGTGTGGTGTGGTCGGCACCAGGTCCTTCTGGCCCATGGTGTGGTGTGTCGGCACCAGGTCCTTCTAGCCCCTGTGGTGTGGTGTGGTCAGCACCAGGTCCTTCTAGCCCCTGTGGTGTGCTGTGGTCGGCACCAGGTCCTTCTAGCCCCTGTGGTGTGGTGTGGTCAGTACTGGGTCCTTCTATCCCCTGTGGTGTGGTGTGGTCAGTACCAGGTCCTTCTGGCCCCTGTGGTGTGGTGTGGTCAGTACCAGGTCCTTCTGGCCCCTGTGGTGTGGTGTGGTCAGTACCGGGTCCTTCTGGCCCCTATGAGTGTGGTGTGGTCGGCACCAGGTCCTTCTGGCCCATGGTGTGGTGTGTCGGCACCAGGTCCTTCTGGCCCGTGGTGTGGTGTGGTCAGTACCAGGTCCTTCTATCCCCTGTGGTGTGGTGTGGTCGGCACCAGGTCCTTCTGGCCCATGGTGTGGTGTGTCGGCACCAGGTCCTTCTAGCCCCTGTGGTGTGGTGTGGTCGGCACCAGGTCCTTCTAGCCCCTGTGGTGTGGTGTGGTCGGCACCAGGTCCTTCTGGCCCCTGTGGTGTGGTGTGGTCGGCACCAGGTCCTTCTGGCCCCTGTGGTGTGGTGTGGTCGGCACCAGGTCCTTCTGGCCCCTGTGGTGTGGTGTGGTCGGCACCAGGTCCTTCTGGCCCCTGTGGTGTGGTGTGGTCGGCACCAGGTCCTTCTGGCCCCTGTGGTGTGGTGTGGTGGGCACCAGGTCCTTCTGGCCCCTGTGGTGTGGTGTGGTCGGCACCAGGTCCTTCTGGCCCCTGTGGTGTGGTGTGGTCGGCACCAGGTCCTTCTGGCCCCTGTGGTGTGGTGTGGTGGGCACCAGGTCCTTCTGGCCCCTGTGGTGTGGTGTGGTCGGCACCAGGTCCTTCTGGCCCCTGTGGTGTGGTGTGGTCAGTACCGGGTCCTTCTGGCCCCTATGAGTGTGGTGTGGTTGGCACAGTAGCCCCCACGCCTCCTTCCCAGCCTTTCTTTCTGCTGGTCCTCGCCTTGGTTTCCCACTCGGAGGCCCCAGGGAGGAGACGGCGCGTGGCTGGCCCCAGTCGCTGCCACGGAGCTGCCCCCACCCCAGCGCTTGCCCATGCTTGGAGGACTCGCCGGGCGCCTGGCAGTTCAGGTGCAGCCCCTAGTGCTCTGTGCTGACTGAGCCCCTCCCTGGAGCTGGCGGAGCCCGTGTCCCTGCTCCGTCCTCACGGTGTCTGTGCGCGTCCTTATGCTCTTGTTTCTGGATCGTTGTCACTAAAGAATGGATTGAGCTGTTTTGCAGACAGATGCGTAATTCTGTCCGATAGAAACGTCCCGTGAGCACAGACCGGCCTGGATATAATTGCCGTGGTTTGGATGTGGTTTGTCCCCGTGAAACGTTGAAATTTGACCCCCAGCGTGGCTGTGTGGGAGGTGCTGGGGTCTCGAGGGGACCCCTTGTGCACGGATGAATGCCTCCCACAGCGCTGAGTGAGCCCTCGCAGGAACGCACTGCGCCCCACGACGCCGACCTGTGGAACGGACCCGGCTGCCTCGGTTTCTCTCCTGCGTCCTCCCTTGCCACATGCTCTCTGCGTACACCACTGCCTTCCGCTCTCCACCCGGGTTAAAGCAGCCTGAGGCCCCCCGCAAAGGCAGCTGCCCGGTCTTGGACATACCCCAACCAGAAGCATGAGCCAAATGTCCTATCAGTGACATTTTACATTCTTTTTCCTATACCAAGTCTCCAGAATGTCATGTGTATTTCACACTCACAGCCCACGGAGGACCTGCCACAGCTCCAGGGCTTCGGCCACGTGACCAGGGCACAGCCACCGTGTGCAGAGGCCTCGCATCACGGCCACGCCGGGTGCGGAGGTCGCGGCCACGCCGGGTGCGGAGGTCGCGGCCACGCCGGGTGGGGAGGTCGCGGCCACGCCGGGTGCGGAGGTCGCAGCCACGCCGGGTGCGGAGGTCGCGGCCACGCCGGGTGCGGAGGTCGCGGCCACGCTGGGTGGGGAGGACCTGTGTTTGTTTTCTCAGGTCGTCCTCACCACCGTGCAAACGGCAGAAGCTCCAGGTGTCTGGCTGCAGAGTCAACCTGCCAGAAAATGCCTCTGGATTTTTCAGCAAGCAAAAGTTGAGAACAGGAAGCTAAATGGTTGCTTTGTAATCGTGAAATCCGTTTTTCTGAGGGTTGAGGGAAGGCTGTATTTGTCCGGGCAGATGTTTCACATTTGCTGGAAACTGCAGCCTCTCAGGGGGCCTCGGGGCCCGTGGGGTATTCACGGATGTGCCAAGCCCCCTGCCTGGAACTGGCACCAGGTGCTGTGGCCTTGGCTGGCCTGGCTTCCAGGACCCCCTCGGGGCTCTTCCTGATGTCCCAGGGGGCACCCTGTGTGACAGGCACCCACCTGTCACGACGCAGAAGCACCAAAGCTTTGATGTGCGAAACGTAGGTTGCTCGAAGTTATCCCATAGAACTGCGTTATTTCACTTTAAAATGTTCGTTCTGAGAGTTTCCTTGGTGGTAGCAAAGACTTTTTTTTTTAATTTTTGGCCAGGCACGGTGACTCACACCCAGAGTCCCACAACTTTGGGAGGCCAAGGTGGGTGGATCACTTGAGCTCAGGAGTTCAAGACCAGCCTGGGCAATATGGTGAAACCCCATCTCAACAAAAAATACAAAAATTAGCAAGGTGTGCTGGTCCACACCTGTAGTCCCATCTTCTCAGGAGGCTGAGGCAGGAGGAGCGCTTGAGCCGGGGAGGTTGAGGCTGCAGTGAGCTGTGATCACGCCACTGCATTCCAGCCTGGGTAACAGCAAGACTCTGTATAAAAAAAAAATTTAAAAGATGGGGTCTTGCTATGTTGCCCAGGCTGGTGTGCAGTGGCTGTTGACAGGTGTAAGCACAGCATACTGTAGCCTCAAACTCCTGGCCTCAGGCGAGGCTCGAATTCCCACCTCAGCCTCTCTGCTGGGACCACTGGCGCGTGCACCACCACGCTGGGCTTTAAAATTTTTACTTAGGCCGGGGCAGTGGCTCACGCCTGTAATCCCAGCACTTTGGGAGGCCGAGGCAGGTGGATCACCTGAGGCCAGGAGTTCAAGACCAGCCTGGGCAACGTAGCGAAACCCTGTCCCTACTAAAAATACAAAAATCAGCCCTGGGCAATGTAGCGAAACCCTGTCCCTACTAAAATACAAAAATCAGCCAGGCGTGGTGGTGCACACCTGTAGTCCCAGCTACTCCGATGGCCGAGGCACAAGAATCGCTTGAATGCGGGAGGCAGAGGTTGCAGTGAGCTGAGATCGCGCCACTGCACTCCAGCCTGGGCGACAGAGCGAGACTCTGTCTCAAAACAAAACAAAATAAATTTTCTTTTCTTTTTTTTTTTTTTTCCTGAAATGGAGTCTTGCTCTGTTACCCAGGTTATAGTGCAATGACAATCTTGGCTCACTGCAACCTCCGCCTCCTGGGTTCAAGCGATTCTCCTGCCTCAGCCTCCAGAGTAGCTGGGACTACAGGCACCTGCCACCACGCCCAGCTAATTTTTATATTTTCAGTAGAGATGGGGTTTCACCACATTGGCCAGGCTGGTCTCAAACTTCTGACCTCAGGTGATCCGCCCACCTCAGCCTCCCAAAGTGCTGGGATTACAGGCATGTGCCACCATGCCTGGCTAATTTTGTATTTTTAGTAAAGACGGGGTTTCTCCATGTTGGTCAAGCTGGTCTCGAACTCCCGACCTCAAGTGATCCGCCCGCCTCAGCCTCCAAAAGTGCTGGGATTACAGACGTGAGCCACCGCGCCCGGCCAACAAGACAAATTTTAAGGCTATGCCTTTGCAGTCAGGCCCAGGCACCCTCAGCCTTAGGCGTCCACAGATGCGACGTCTGTCCCTGCAGGTTAGGTTAGGTTCCCACTTTTTAGGGTTTTGTGTAAGTGGGGTCACACTGTGCACACTGGTGACTGCCTCCCTTCCCTGTTGCCGACAGACATCTGTGCACCGTGCACACTGGTGACTGGCCTCCCTTCCCTGTTGCTGACAGACATCTGTGCACCGTGCACACTGGTGACTGGCCTCCCTTCCCTGTTGCTGACAGACATCTGTGCACCGTGCACACTGGTGACTGCCTCCCTTCCCTGTTGCCGACAGACATCTGTGCTGCCCTGACCGGCAGTTTGTTCCCTTGGTTGCTGGTGAGGGCTCCACTGGACTCGTGGTACGGGCACCACAGGGCTTATCCATTCACTGTTGACGGACATTTGGGGGCCTCCAGTCTGGGGCTGCTGTGCGTGGAGCTGCCGTGAACACACACGGGGACGGTGCTGGGACTGCCGTGAACACACGGGGACGGGTGCTGGGGCTGCCGTGAACACACATGGATGGTGCCGGATGGACGTGTGTTTGCATTTTTCTTGGGTAAATGTCTAGGACTGGAACGGCTGGCTGCGTGGAAGTCTGTGTTTAACTCTCTAAGAGCCTGCCTGCTCTGCAAAGTGTTTATACTGTTTTTCCTTCCCTTCAGCGTTATGTAAGATTTTTACTTGGTACTGTCAGTGTTTATTTTTATTTTTACTTTTTATATTTTAAGAGACAGGGTCTCCCTCTGTCGCCCAGGCTGGAGTGAGTGCTGTGGTGCGATCACAGCTCACTGCACCCTTGACTTCCGGAGCTCAAAGGATCCTCCCACCTCAGCCTCCTGAGTAGCTGGGCCTACAGGGGAGCATCACCATGCCCAGCTACTTTATTATTATTATTATTATTTGTAGAGTTGCCCAGGCTGGTCTCAGAGTCCTGGGCTCAAGCGATTCTCCCGCCTCGGACTCCCAAAGTGCTGGGATTACAGGTGTGAGTCACTGTGCCTTATTTTCAGTTTTTAAAATTGTAACAGTCCTAGAGGGTGCAATGGTATTTCATTGCAGTTCGAATTTTATTTCTCTGTCTCTGGAATCTGCAACCAGATGCACGTAGCACCCCCACCCCCGCAGTGTGACAGCCCCGAATGTCTCCAAACAAATGTTCCTGGGGACAAATCAGCCCCAGGTGAGGGCCACTGTGCTGATGAGGACTTGTCTTAACCAGCGACCTTCCTCAGGATGGACGACAAGCAGAAAGTCTTTAGGCTTCAAAGGGATCCACAGTGAGACGAGGCTGTGTTACACGATGGTTCTCAGCCATTGTGTCTCTGCCTGACCTGCGTGTTCACACACACAGCACCTCCAGGAACGTACAGATGCTGGCGTAATCTCAGTGTCAGTTATAGGAAAACATCACTTCAGCCACCCAAGAAGTGAAAATGTCGTGGGCTCCATGGTGTCCCCCCAAAATGATATGTTGGTGTCCTCACCCCCAATCTCAGAATGTGGGCGTTGTTTGGAAACAAGGTCTTTGCAGATGCAAAGTTCAGATGAGGCCGTTAGGTGGACTTCCCTACCGAAAACTCATTTCCCTGATGACTAGTCACATAGAGCACGTTTTCACGACCTGACTAATTTACGTCTGAGGAAGTGTTTTCAGCCCTTCTCCCATCTTTAACTCATTGCCTGTCTTCTTATTAATGGGTGCTGAGGGTACTTAGTGTTCGCCGAACGTACATCCTCAGTGAAACGCACTTATTGCAAATGTTTTGTCCCAGCCTGGATTATCTTTTCGTTTTCTTTGCAGGATCTTTCAAAGAACCAAATATTTGACTTTGGTGGCATCTGGTTTATCCATGTCTTCTGCTGTGATTTGTGCCTCTTCTTACCTGAGAAACCTTTGCCTACCCCATAATCACGAATGTTCTCCCTGGATGAGCTCGTTGCCTCTTTTGTGTTCAGCTCACTGAGGTCCGGTCTGAGGCTGGGGCTTTGTGTTTGGAGCCTGAGGCAAGGGTTGAGGGCCATGGTTTGTAAGGACACCAGTGGTTCCAGCGCCATCTCTCATTTCCACCACTGACGCCCCTGATGTCTTCAGCAAACATCAAACCCCAGCCAGGCGGCTCTGCTTCTGGTCTCTGTTCTGTTCCGTTTGTCTGTCTGCCCATAAGCTGATACCAATCAACCTTGATCACCATAGCTTTGTAGTAAATCTTGAAATACAGTCATGAAACTTCAACTTTGTTCATGGTTTTCAAAATTGTGCTGGCTCTCCTAGGTCCTTTGTGTTTCTATATACATTTTAGAATCTCCGTTGAGCCAGGCATGATGGCTCACACCTGTAATCCCAGCACTTTGGGAGGCTGAGCTGGGAGGATCGCTTGAGGCCGGGAGTTTAAGACCAGCCTGAGCAGTGTAGTGAGACCCCATCTCTACAAAAGAAATGTAAGAAAATAGCCAGGCACGGTGGTGTGCGCCTATAGTCCTAGCTGCTTGGGAGGTTCAGGTGGGAGGATCGCTTGAGGCCAGGGGTTTGAGGTCAGCCTGAGCAACAGAGTGACAAACATCTCTACAAAAAAAAAAAAAAAGTAAAAATCAGCCAGGTGTGGTGGCACACGCCTGTGGTCCCAGCTACCTGGGAGGCTGAGATAGGAGGATTGCTTGAGGAGGTCAAGGCTACAGTGAGTGATGATCACAGCACTGGAGAAGGGACACGTCAGCCACGTCATGAAGCCCCTTGAGCCCCGTCCCTGTGGAGAAGGGACACGTCGGCCCCGTGGTGAAGTCTCTTGAGGCCCTGACCCTGTGGAGAAGGGACACGGATTCATCTGTCACTTTCTCGTGACACTTTGTGGAAATAAACTGCAGGTTGTTTGTGACAAGCTGTTCTTTTCCGCTAACTCTGTCAACGTTAATTGCTTCTAGGTTTTCACCTCAAATGGCCCCACGGTGATCATGCCCACCTGGTTCTGCTCGCGAGCGTGGTTCTCCCACGTGGGCCCCTTTAACGAGGGAGGTCAGGTAAGGGCCGAAGGCGGGAATCAGGTCCCTCCCCCAGGTTCGGGGCCCTGTCTCTGTGTGTGGGCTCTGCACACTGGCCACCCTCCGCCTTGCCATGCCTCCGGGGCTCTGCAGATTTAGGAAACCCCTGCCTGAGGGTCCTCCCGGTGCCCCCTCCTGGCACCTGCCAGCATCTTAGTTGTTTTGCTGAAAGCAGGGGGTTTCTGCATGAAGGCTGTGGGTGCCCTGGGCATCTGCACCTGACCTACACTGGCTCCAGGTTACTGCATCCTGGTTTAAAAGCTGTGTCTGGGAAAGCGCAGGACACGGAAGCTTTTGGCAGAGCTGTCTCTGGGACAACAGAGGGAGAAGGGGAGCCCATCCTCCCCCCGGGGGTGCACCTGCAGGCGTCTGTGTCCCCGTCCCCCCCATGGGGGTGCACCTGCAGGCGTCCATGTCCCCGTCCCCCCCGTGGGAGTGCACCTGCAGGCGTCTGTGTCCCCATCCCCCCCGTGGGAGTGCACCTGCAGGTGTCTGTGTCCCCGTCCTCCCCATGGGGGTGCACCTGCAGGCATCCGTGTCCCCGTCCTCCCCATGGGGGTGCACCTGCAGGCGTCCATGTCCCCGTCCTCCCTGTGGGTGTGCACCTGCAGGTGTCCATGTCCCCGTCCTCCCTGTGGGAGTGCACGTTCAGGCATCCATGTCCCCGTTCTCCTGTGGGGGTGCACCTGCAGGCGTCCGTGTCCCCGTCCTCCCGTGGGGGTGCACCTGCAGGCGTCCGTGTCACCGTCCCCCCCGTGGGGGTGCACCTGCAGGCGTCCGTGTCCCCGTCCTCCCCGTGGGGTGCACCTGCAGGCGTCCGTGTCCCCATCCCCCCGTGGGGGTGCACCTGCAGGCGTCCGTGTCCCCGTCCCCCCCGTGGGGGTGCACCTGCAGGCGTCCGTGTCCCCGTCCCCCCGTGGGGGTGCACCTGCAGGCGTCTGTGTCCCCGTCCCCCCCGTGGGGGTGCACCTGTAGGCGTCCGTGTCCCCGTCCTCCCCGTGGGGGTGCACCTGCAGGCATCCATGTCTCCGTCCTCCCCGTGGGGTGCACCTGCAGGCGTCCGTGTCCCCGTCCCCCCGTGGGGGTGCACCTGCAGGCGTCCGTGTCCCCATCCCCCGTGGGACGCACCTGTAGGCGTCCGTTTTAAATACTAGCTATGTCTATTGTTTTTTGTGTTTTAAAAACTCCAATTCTATGTTGGTTAGATTTTCTTAGTCTTTCTAACCCTTTTCACTTCTTTCATTATATAATTTCTATTTTCCTTTCTTCAGTGTCCCTTATTAAATTTTTAATTAAAATCATTTTCTCTTAAGGATTTTGTAATTTAGTCTTCATTTTTCATATATTTTGTTCCTTTTTTTTTTTTTTTTTTTTGAGACAGGGTCTCACTCTGTTCCTGAGGCTGGAGTGCAGTGGCTCACTCACTACAACCTCTGCCTCCCAGGTTCAAGCAATCCTTGTACCTCAGCCTCCTGAGTAGCTGAGACTACAGGTGCACACAACCATGCCCAGCTACTTTTTTCCTATTTTTGGTAGAGACTGGTTTCGACATGTTGCCCAGGCTGGTCTCGAACTCCTGGGCTCAAGCAATCCACCCCCCCCACCTCAGCCTTCCAAAGTGCTGAGATTAAAGGCATGAGCCACCACACCCAACCAATTTTGTCTCTTCTTAAAATTTCTTTTTTTAGTTAAATCGATCCAATTTTATATAAAAGCTTTATTGAGGTATAATTCACATGCCATACAATTCACCTATTAAAATGTGCAATTCAATTTTTTTTTAGCAAATTTATAGGGCTGTACAATCACCAGTCACCACTACCATCTAATGTTAGGAAGTTGTCATCCCCCAAAAAACACTTCCTGCACCCAGGGGCGCACCTCATCTAACAGCCACCTGCCAGCCCTAGCCAAGCACTAATGCACTTTCTTCAATGCTCTAGACCCACCCCATTAGGGTCCAGTTTTGCACTTAGTCCTTGAATTTCTGATTCAAGATGGGTCTCCGCCACCTCCCCGCATATCCCACCCTGTAGCCTGAAACACTGGTGGAGGGTGTGGAATTTATCTTGGTGGGTTATTTACAGGGGTCTCTGTTTCCTGGTTTGGGGTTTGTTGCTATTGTAGAGGGAGAGGCTGAATTTTTATCCATGGAAGTGTTGCCAGTTTTTAGTTTTCTCTGCTGGACTTCATGTCCCTGCGTTCCGCGGACTCCAATCGCTGGGCCCTGGCTCGAGCTCTCCCCCTTCTGTCCCCGCGTGGTGACTGCTGCTTCCTCCTGGAGGTTCGCGCTGGGGATGGGGCTCTAGAGAAGGGCGGGTGGCGCTGGGGACGAGCCCTGGGGAAGGAAGCGCGTCCCTGACTCGGCTTCCTTTTGCCTCAGGATCCGAGTCTCCACAGCCTCTGGCCCGGCCTTCCTGGGAGTGGCTTTAGCTCACGCTTTTCTCCTCCAGGCAGTTCTGGGTGCTCCATCCCCCAAGGCTGCCCGAGGATGGTTCTGTGAGCAGATTGGGGCTGGGCGGCGGCCACACTTCCTCCACTCGGCTTCTTCCCTGATGCCTTTCTGGGTTGTGACCCCTCCCCCTCTCCCTGCGCCCCGCCAGGGGTCCTCCACACCACAGGGCAGTCCAGGCACCTGGAGGCTGATTGGGAAAAGCCTGGGGGAGGAGTGAGGCCATTTCGGGCCTCTCAGGTCTCAGCAGCAGCAATCAGGGGAGGGGAGAAAAATGGGACAGATCCTCTGCGTCCCCCTCCTCCCAGGGCAGAGGCACCACCCGGGAGCGGCTGTTGACTAAATTCTCACTTTACTGCCAGAAAATAAGAAAACCCCAAGGGTCGGGCTCTTCTGGTGATAGGAAGAGAGAAACCTTTTTTCTCTTCTTAAACCTGTAACATGTTGAGAGTTCCAGTGCTCTTTAGAGCTGCCTTTGAAGACACAGAAAATTAAAGAAAATACCTCAGTGACCCCTGCGAGGGTCCGTGTCCACCAGCACCCGCGGGAGCCTCCACCCTAAATCACCCGTGTGAGGGTCCGTGCCCACCAGCACCCACAGGAACCTCCACCCTAAATCACCCGTGTGAGGGTCCGTGTCCACCAGCACCCGCGGGACCCTCCACCCTAAATCACCCGTGTGAGACAGCATGTGGGCTTCTGTGATTCCTTTGTCTTTATCTTATGGTGGATAAACTTTTAGCAGGGCTGACACATGATTTTGAGGTCTGTTCTTTGACTCAGCATCTTCTTACAAATCTTTCCATGTCATCGTGGTTTTTGTAAAAGGGATCGCCCTGGAGAGGCGGAGGTTAAACAGTGCCTTTTTTTTGGACGTGGAACCATAGCACTGCCTGTCTGTCCTGGGAGCAAACAGGCCAGCGGTTGGGCCGTGATAGTTTGGGGACTTTACTGACCTGCACTTGAAGTTTGTGTACCAGCCAAGGAGAGAAGAGGCTGGACTTGGTGATAGACTGGCCCTGCTGCTAGGCTCTCAGAAAACCTGCCCTTTCCTGGAGCAAAGGTGTCTCCGGGCGGCTGACCCAGGTGAGCTGCCGCAGAGAACCACGAGGAGACCAGACTCCACGCCCTGCTCCTCCCTCAGTTTTGTTTGAATTTAAGAAAGCGACAGGGGCCCGGCTCCACACAAGGCCCAGAGCCCTGGGCTGAGGATTGGGGTCACCCAGGAGAGGAGCAAGCAGAGGGCAGGGGCCACTGGGATCATGGGCCGGGGAAAGCAGGGCCCAGGTTCTCACAGGACAGAAAAGTCTGGTGGGAATGCCTGCAGAATGTTCTGGAGCAGAGTCCCACTGACATGGAGGGAGTGTTCGGGGATAAGCCCCGTGGGCTGAGGTTCAAGTTTCTGAGCTTGGACAAGTGAGCAGGGCTGGCACAGGCCCGGGGCTGCCTCCCCACTGCTGGGCTCCCCTGCCCGCAGCCCCACACGCCCACCCAGCACCACTGTCCTCTGCCCACAGTCGGCACTTTGAGTCCCTTGAGCTTCTGGGGCTGCAGCCACTGGCAGGAAAGGATGGGGACGGAGGCCGGACCAGCCATCCAGGAGCCGTGGCTGTGAGACCCTGACCCACCCCAGCCCCTTTCCTCGGCTGCCTGTCTTCCTCTTTGCCCTGAGACCTTTACTGCTCAAAATGGAATTTGGGGCAGAACCAAGACCCAGCCCACCCTCCCTTCCCCTCTTTCCCGCCTGTGGAGAAGCTCGGTTGCTCACGTCTGTTGTGGTCGCCGCCCCACGTCCCTGTTGAGCCTCTAGACCGGTTTCTTTGCAACAAAAGCCTTTTCCACCGGTTCCTGGTTGGCCGGCTGAGCGCAGGTGTAGTGTGCATCCGGGGCAGGCACGCGTTTCTGGGGCCCCAGTGATGCCTCTGCTTCTCCCGCCCTGCAGGGCGTCCCGGAGGACCTGCTGTTCTTCTACGAGCACCTCAGGAAGGGCGGCGGCGTCATCCGCGTGGACCAGAGTCTCCTGCTGTATCGCCACCACCCACAGGCGGCCACGCACTGCGTCCTCGAGTGAGTCAGCCCCGCCCGGCCCCGGGACGCCTGAGAGGCCAGGAACACGGGAGGCGCCCGAGGTCGGGGCCGGGGTTGGTGGGGCCGACCCCAGAGGCTGTGGTCAGGCTCTGCCTTGAGACCCAGGGTCTGGTGGGACACGGGGCAACAGCACATCCCGAGGGTGGCGGGGATTCGGCGTCCACGAAGGGGCATTTCCCAAGGGCGCCAGGGAGCGCCAGGGTGAAGGCCGAACGTCCTTCCCTAGTTCCCAGAGGTAAAATGACCACGCGCCGGGTCCTTCTGAAACCCTGTGCTCCCTTTAACCCGACGGGAGTCTCATGAGTGGGGTCCGGCGGGGACCACAGGCCTGGGGGGCGCAGCTGCCGTGGAGGGTGGCAGAGGCACGGCCAGGGAATCGCAGCACCCAGTGAGGACGCGCCCAGTGCTGCGGGGTCCGCCTCCCTCTCCCGTGTCACTGTGAGGAGCGGCCACGTGGGCCCGGGTCTGGGGGTGCCGCGTGGCTGCGTTGGAGCCGTGGCAGGGGTGAGGCAAATCGGGGTGAAACTGCATGTAGAATTCCTTCCTTAGATCCGGGCAGACAGTTCCCTCCTTAGAACTGTGAGGACACAGAGGTCTCGGCCACCTGCCTGCCGCGTGCCGCAGCGTTAAGTTGGAAAGCAGGCCGCCGTCCGAGGCTTGCGTCTCGGCCCCTACGGGTACTCAGGGCCCCCGGAGTCTCAAGACCCCAACTAGGGTCATGTGTGGGTGTGGGAGCCGCGATGGTCCCAGGCCTGCCGTGATGGGGTTGAGACTCTCGGCAAGATCCCAGCTCCCCAGGGGGTCTAAGGTCCAAGGTCACGGGGTGGGGCTGGGGGGTTGGCAGGAGGGCCACGAGCTTCCCCATTGGGGGCATCATCCTCACTCCTGCATGCTGGGGCCTCCCGCGTCCGCGCTCCTCTCCCTTATGCCCACCGGCACCTTGGCCGCCTCCTCATGCGGTGACGTGTCCCTGACACTTCAGCTCCTTTGCAACATTTCCAGAAATGCTGTCTTGTGCTTTTGGGAAAAACTGGGTTTCCACCTTTCCCGGTGCTAAGGCGGGGCCACGGCTTCCTCTGAGGATGTAAAAAGAGAGGCATAGGGCGCCCTGGGGAGCCTGTTCTCCCTGATTAAATGAGAACTTTTTAAAATGTGAAAAATGAAGATGAACCAAATACAGACATCATGGCTGCTTCTACATTTTACCTTCCTACGATGGGCCAACATTTTCAGACCAGAGACCCCTAGGAAAGCCCAGGAGACAAGGGGCCGTCGAGGAGGCCGGTGTCAGAGGCCCCCCAAACCTCGCGTGCCACCCACGGCCACAGAGGCCCCCGCTTTCTTCTGGAGCCCTGACTGCTTTCCTGTCACGTGAACCCCCTGGGGTCCCTAAGCTGATGTCAGTGGATGAGGAGGATCAGGCTCGTCCCCCCGCCCCGAGACACCCAACACACCCGGGCTGCTAAGGACAAGATGCCAAAACCCGGCGAGGCTGCGTCACCTGGTGGGGAAGTCCCCGCAGCCGTCTGCAGGAGCTGTCCTCACCCAGGTTCTCACACACACACACACTGCACGTGCACACAGAGCACATGTACAGCATGCACACACATACGTGCACGAAAGTATACACACGTACTCACTGCACACGCTCACTGCACACACGCACTCACGTGCACACACACTGCATGTACACACATCTGCACGGTACATGCAGGCATGTGCACTCACTGCATACATGTACTCATACTGCATGCACAGGCCCTCACTGCACACACGTGTACACATGCGTGTACACACATCCACACAGTACATACAGGCATGTACTCCGAACACCTGCACACACTGTACACGTGCTCATGTACACATGCACTCACCACACATGCACACTGTGCACACACAACATACACCCCCACACAGTGTACACACACACCATACACCCCCACACATACACACCATACACCCCCAGTGTACACACACACACACCATACACCCCCACACAGTATACACACACACCATACACCCCCACAGTGTACACACACACACATACACCCCCACACAGTATACACACACACCATACACCCCCACACAGTATACACACACACACCATACACCCCCACACAGTATACACACACACACCATACACCCCCACACAGTATACACACACACACCATACACCCCCAGTGTACACACACACACACACCATACACCCCCAGTGTACACACACACACACATGCTTCAGTGTCCCCAAGTCACTGACTGGGATAAGCATCTCCCTGTGTCCCAGGTGGGGTCCGGACTATTGAGGTGGCTGCAGAGGGTTGGGGAGGAAAAGGTAGACTCCAGGCAGGACCTCCCTGACAGTGCCTAAGCCCTGCAGCTCCCTGAGCTGACAGAGGGGACCCCGTGTCCCCCCATCCCCCCCATCCCATTGCCTGTGGGGGTTCTGCTACAAACAGGGGGTGCCACAGGGTTGGGGGGGAGTCACAAGTTTATCCCGGGAGGCGGAGGCAGCAGCAGAATCGTAGAACAGCGAAATCCTGCCCCGATCCCGAGGCTGAACCCACGAGGGCCCTGCTCAGGGGAGGCCCGTCACCAGCCAGTGTTGGTTGTGTCTGGCCCAGACCCCACCCCGGAGGAGACTCCCACGGACACAGCTCCCTTGACACAGCAGAGGGCATCCCAGGACTCGGCCAGGGCAGGGTCTGTGGGGTACCGGGCTTCAGCGTGGCTACATCGCGGCCATTGGGGAGGACAGCATCTGGGACACATCCCACGCCGTTCTGGCCCCGTTGGCCTCTGCATCCCCTGCCCCTCTAGCTTCTGGCCCGTCCAGCTCCTGGGGCTTTGAGACGGGCTCAGCCCGGGCAGCTCCAGGAGCAGGGTTGAGGGAGAGGCACACACAGGCAGACAGCGATGGGGCACGTGGGGAGGGGCTGCGGTGGGAGGAGAGAGGGCGGGGCTGGGAAGGGCCCGGGCAGCGATGGGGCTGGGCGCTGGGCAGAGCAGCAGGTCATGGGAAGGAGCCTGCTCCCCCCGGGACAGCAGCCTGGGGTCGACTTGTCACAGCAGAGGGAGAACAGAGACCAGGTTCCCAGGGGAGTGGAAGGGTTCGGGGCAGCGACCCTGAGGCAGAAGGTCGTGTCCAAGTGTGAACGCTGGGATTTTATGGGATGGTTGCATGTGTCCGTATGGACAAAGGTTTCTCTGGGAAACTGGACTTGGGTCAAGTCCAGTCCTCTGCGTCCTACAGAAATTCTGCCTTCCAGAACCTTCTAGATTCTTAAGTGACAGCTTCTCATCTGTCCCCACCTGTTGGGGTCTAATGGAAGGGGTGGATCCCCACCTAGGCATGTGGCTACGTCCAGCTGGGGCAGGTGGCCTGACTGTAGGACAGCCAGTCTCTCTTAGGCATTGGGCCAGGTGTCCACTCCACTGGCAACGTGAGCTGAGCACACATCATGTCCCTGTATGTCAGCATCTGTGTGCATCTGTGGGGCCTCCGGCCTGCCTATCACCCTCTTCTCCACCGCAGGACGACCATCTGGACCCACCGCGTCCGCTTCCTGGAAGAGCAGGCCCTGCCCCGCTGGGCGGCCTTCACCATCTGGAACGCTGGCAAGCAGGGGCGCCGGCTGTACCGCAGCTTGACTGCCGGCAGCCAGCGCAAGGTGAGCATCCTGCCACCCTCCAACACTGCCTGCCCTGCCCCCGTACTGTCCCACAGCACAGGCCCTGGCCCCGGCCTGTCCAGAGCTGCCCTTCTGTGCTTGTCCCCAGGTGGTGGCATTCTGTGACGTGGACGAGAACAAGATCAGGAAAGGCTTCTATTGCCACGAGGACTCTCAGGTGTGCAGGGCCGCATGGTGTCACCCTTGGGGTCAACCACCTGCTCCGGGGCTGAGGGACAGCTGCTCCGAGCCTTCCCCCTTGGCAGAGTCCACCTGGGCCGTGCTGGCTCCTCGGGGCCTCCAGGGAGCCCAGCCCCCATTCTTGGGGGGAGAACCCCGCTGTCCCTCGTGGGTCTAGGCCTTGGGGTAGCCCACCCTGGTCAGTTCTGCAGTCGGGTGTCAGGCGGGGGTGGCGGGAGCCGGGTTCCTGCTCTGAACACCTGCCGCAGTCTGTGACCCTGGCACGTTATCTGCTGCCCAAGCCCTGGCTCCTGTGTGAGCCAACTTGGTGGCTGCGTGCACCCTGAGGGCGTCTCTCCGGGGACAAGCTCCAGGCTCGGGCAGGACTGATGGCCACTGTCACTCTCAGGAAAGACCCAAGCCCCGAATCCCCATCCTGCACTTCCGAGCCGCCCGGCCACCCTTCGTCATCTGCGTGAAGCTGGTGAGTGTGGGGCCCTTGGCCGTGGAAGGGCTTGGGGATCCCGGGCTCTGCCACCTGGACAACCCGCCCTGCTGTGCAATGACTGTGTGGCCTGGGATGAGACCCCAGCCGATGGTGGGCATGGGGACAGGTGCCACAGCCGTCCACAACAGCACCACAGACCAGGCTGTGGGGTGGTGGCCGCTGCCCTGGGGGCAGGAGGCAGCTGGAGAGGGTGGCCTGCATGGGTGTGGGGGGGATGGATTCCGGTCTCTCTTCTGTCTTAAAATACCCATAAAGCCAACATTTGTTAGAAACTTGCAAAGCACGAGGCCCTGCGGTGCCATGTCTGAGGGGCCAAGGCCAGGACCTCCAGCTCCCGTGGACTGAGGTGGCTGCATCGGGGATGTCCTCAGCCCCTGAGTGTGAACGACCCTTGCCTGGGGTGGGCAGGTGATGGGTGCCTCGGGCTCCAAATGCAGCCTTTTTCCCCAAGCGTGGGGAGTCCAGGCTGGCTGCGGGGGGCTGAGGTGAGTAGTTTTTTTTTTTAATTTTACTTTAAGTTCTGGGATACATGTGCTGAACATGAAGATTTGTTACATAGGTTTACATGTGCCATGGTGGTTTGCTGCACCTATCAACCCGCCATGTAGGTTTTAAGCCCCGCATGCATTAGGTGTTTGTCCTAATGCCCTCCCTCCCCTTGCCCCCCACCCTCCAACAGGTCCCAGTGTGTGATGTTTCCCTCCCTGTGTCCATGTGTTCTCACTGTTCAACTCCCACTTATGAGTGAGAACATGCGGTGTTTGGTTTTCTGTTCCTGTGTTAGTTTGCTGAGGATGATGGTTTCCAGCTTCATCCATGTCCCTGCAAAGGACATGAACTCATTCCTTTTCATGGCTGCGTAGTATTCCATGGGCTATATGTGCCATGTTTTCTTTATCCCGTGTATCATTGATGGGCATTTGGGTTGATTCCATGTCTTTGCTATTGTGAATGGTGCTGCAGTAAACATATGCGTGCATGTATCTTTATAATAGAATGATTTGTATTCCTTTTGGGTATATACCAATAATGGTATTGCTGGGTCAAATGGCATTTCTGGCTCTAGATCCTTGAGGAATCACCACACTGTCTTCCACAATGGTTGAACTAATTTACATTCCCACCAACAGTGTAAAAGCATCCCTACTTCTCCACAGCCTTGCCAGTATCTGTTGTTTCTTGATTTTTTAGAAATCGCCATTCTGACTGGTGTGAGATGGTATCTCATCATGGTTTTGATTTGCATTTCTCTAACGACCAGTGATATCTCATTGTGGTTTTGATTTGCATTTCTCTAATGACCAGTGATGAGCTTTTTTTCATGTTTCTTGGCCACATGTCTTCTTTTGAGAAGTGTCTGTTCATGTCCTTCGCCCACTTTTTGATGAGGTTTTTTCTTGTAAATTTAAGTCCCTTGTAGATCCTGTATATTAGACCTTTGTCAGATGGACAGATTGCAGAAATTTTCTCCCATTCCAGAGGCTGCCTGTTCACTCTGATGATAGTTTCTTTTGCTGAGCAGAAGCTCCTTAGTTTAATTAGATCCCATTTGTCAATTTTGGCTTCTGTTGCAATTGCTTTTGGTGTTTTAGTCATGAAGTCCTTGCCCATGCCTATGTCCTGAATGGTATTGCCTAGGTTTTCATGTAGGGTATTTATGGTTTTAGGTTTAAGTCTTTAATCCATCTTGAGTTAATTTTTCATAAGCTGTAAGGAAGGGGTCTAGTTTCTGTTTTCTGCATGTGGCTAGCCAGTTTTCCCAGCACCATTTACTAAATAGGGAATCCTTTCCCCATTGCTTGTTTTTGTTAGGTTTGTCGAAGATCAGATGGTTGTAGATGTGTGGTGTTATTTCTGAGGCCTCTGTTCTGTTGCATTGATCTATGTATCTGTTTTGGTACCAGTACCATGCTGTTTTGGTTACTGTAGACTTGGAGAATAGTTTGAAGTCAGGTAGCGTGATGCCTCCAGCTTTGTTCTTTTTGCCTAGGATTGTCTTGGCTATACAGACTCTCTTTTGGTTTCATATGAAATTTAAAGTAGTTTTTTCTGGTTCTGTGAATAAAGTCAATGGCAGCTTGATGGGAATGGGATTGAATCTATAAATTATTTTATGGCCATTTTCATGATATTGATTCTTCCTATCCACGGGCATGGAATTTTTTTTTTCCATTTGTTTGTGTCCTACTTCCCTGAGCAGTGGTTTATAGTTTTTCTTGAAGAGGTCCTTCACATCCCCTATAAGTTGTATTCCTAGGTATTTTATTTTCTTTGTAGCAATTGTGAGAGTTAACTCATGGTTTCAGTCTCTGCTTGTCTATTATTGGTGTATAGGAATGCTCGTGATTTTTGCACATCGATTTTGTATCCTGAGACTTTGCTGAAGTTGCTTATCAGCTTAAGGAGTTTTTGGGCTGAGACAATGGGGTTTTCTAAATATACAATCATGTCATCTGCAAACAGAGACAATTTGACTTCCTCTCTTCATATCTGAATACTCTTTATTTCTTTCTCTTGCCTGATTGCCCTGGCCAGAACTTCCAATACTATGTTGAATAGGAGTGGTGAGAGGCCATCCTTGTCTTGTGCCAGTTTTCAAAGGGAATGCTTCTAGCTTTTGCCCATTCAGTATGATACTGGCTATGGGTTTGTCATAAATAGCTATTATTTTGAGATACGTTCCATCAATACCTAGTGTATTGGGAGTTTTTAGCACTAAGGGTGTTGAATTTTATTGAAGGCCTTTTCTGCATCTGTTGAGATAATCATGTGGTCTTCGTCTTTGGTTCTGTTTATGTGATGGATTATGTTTATTGATTTGCGTATATTGAACCAGCCTTGCATCCCAGGGATGAAGCTGACTTGATCATGGTGGATAAGCTTTTTGATGTGCTGCTGGATTCAGTTTGCCAGTATTTTATTGATGATTTTCACATCAGTGTTCATCAGGGGTATTGGCCTGAAATTTTTTTTGTTGTGTCTCTGCCAGGTTTTGGAATCAGGATGATGCTGGCCTCATGAGTTAGTAGTCCCTTTTTTTCTATTGTTTGGAAGTTTCAGAATGAATGGTACCAGGTCCTCTTTGTACCTCTGGTAGAATTCGGCTGTGAATCCATCTGGTCCTGAGCTTTTCTTGGTTGGTAGGGTATTAATTACTGCCTCAATTTCAGAACTTGTTATTGGTCTTTTCAGGGATTCGACTTCTTCCTGGTTTAGTCTTGGGAGGGTGTATGTGTCCAGGAATTTATCCATTTCGTCTAGATTTTCTAGTTTATTTGCATAGAGGTGTTTATAGTATTCTCTGATGGTAGCTTGTATCTCTGTGGGATCAGTGGTGACAGCCCCTTTATCTTTTTTTATTGTGTCTACTTGATTCTTCTTTTCTTTGCCTGGCTAGTGGTCTATTTTGTTAATCTTTTCAAAAAACCAGTCATTGATTTTTTTGAAGGGATTTTTGTGTCTCTATCTCCTTCAGTTCTGCTCTGATCTTGCTTGTCTTTTGCTAGCTTTTGAATTTGTTTGCTCTTGCTTCTCTAGTTCTTTTAATTGTGATGTCAGGGTGTCGATTTTAGATCTTTCCTGCTTTCTGATGTGGGCATTTAGCACTATAAATTTCCCTCTTAACACTGCTTTAGCTGTGTCCCAGGGATTCTGGTACGTTGTCTCTCTGTTCTCATTGGTTTCAAAGAACTTCGTTATTTCTGCCTTAATTTTGTTATTTACCCAGTAGTCATTCAGGAGCAGGTTGTTCAGTTTCCATGTAGTTCTGCGATTTTGGGTTTCTTAATCCTGAGTTCTAATTCGATTGCACTGTGTTCTGAAAGACTGTTAGGATTTCTGTTCTTTTGCATTTGCTGAGGAGTGTTTCACTTCCAATTATGTGGTTAATTTTAGAGTAAGTGCTGTGTGGTGCTGAGAAGAATGTATATTCTGTTGATTTAGGGTGGAGAGTTCTGTAGATGTCTATTAGGTCCGCTTGGTCCAGAGCTGCGTTCAAGTCCTGAATATCCTTGTTAATTTTCTGTCTCAAATATTGACAGTGGGGTGTTAAAGTCTCCCATTATTATTGTGTGGTTGCCTAAGTCTCTCTGTAGGTCTCTAAGAACTTGTTTTATGAATCTGGGTGCTCCTGTATTAGGTGTGTGTATATTTAGGATAGTTAGCTCTTCTTGTTGCATTGATCCCTTTACCATTAGGTAATGCCCTTTTTTGTCTTTTTTAATCTTCATTGGTTTAAAGTCTGTTTTATCAGAGACTAGGATTGCAACCCCTGCTTTTTTTGCTTTGCATTTTCTTGGTAAATAACCACGGGTGAGTGGTTGATAGAGTGAGCCAGGCCCCAAGCGGTACTGTTGGGGGGTTGTGGGGGACACACAGACATGGGCACCTGTGACAGCTAGAAGCACGCCACACCAGGGCGGGTCACGGTTCCTGCCCCGCAGAAGCCGTGAGGCCAGCGTGTGTTGGTCTACACTGCCCGGCCTGTGATGAGCTGTCACACAACTAATCCAAGTCAAGTCCAGGCAGAACAACGTGAGCAGAGCCTCTTGGGCACAGCTTTCTGGCAACTACTGGCGCATCTCATTTTATTGCACTTCATTGTGCATTTTATAAATTACAGGCGTGTGGCAGCCCCACGAGAGCAACCCCATCAGTGCCCCTCTTCCAGCAGCACGCCCACTCCACGTCTCCACGTCTCCCCATCTCCACGTGTTAATTCTCGCAATATGTCAAACTGTTACTGTATGTGTTACGGTGACCTGTGGTGTCACTACTATCTCGGGGCGCCCATATGAATCAGTGAACTTGATTGATAAAATGCGAATGTTCTGACAGCAGCTGTCGCCTCCCCGCTCCCCCCCACCCCACCCCTCCTCAGGCCTCCCTATTCCCTGAGGCACAACATTGAAATTAGGTTAACTAATAACCCCACAGTGGCCTCTAAGTGTTCAAGTGAAAGGAAGAGTCGCACGTCTCTCGCTTTAAATCAAAAGCTAGAAATGTTTAAGCTTAGTGAGGAAGGCATGTCGAAAGCCACGACTGGCAGGAGAGGCCCAGCTTTCAGCCTAACGGTTAGCCAAGTTGTGAATGCAAAGGAAAAGTTATTGAAGGAAATTAAAAGTGGTCCTCCAGTGAACACACAAATGATAGTGCGGATAGGGAGAAAGTGTTAGTGGTCTGACAGATCAAACCAGCCACAACATTCCCTTAAGCCAAAGCCTAATACAGAGCGAGGTCCCAACTCTCTTCAATTCTGTGAAGGCTGAATGATGTGAGGAAGCTGTGAACATAAGTTTGAAGCTAGCAGAGGTTGGCCCACAAGGCTTAAGGAAAGAAGCCGTCTCCGTAATATGAGTGTGAGGTGAGGCAGCAGGCTCTCCAGAAGATCATGCTACGGTCACAATGGAGGTGGCCGCACTCAACCACAGATCTTCAGTGTAGAGGAAGCAACCTTGAACTGGAAGAAGACACCATGCAGGCCTTTCATAGGTAGGGAGAAGTCAATGCCTGGCTTCAGAGCTTCAAAAGACAGTCTGACTCTTTGCCGTGACTTTAAAACCCATCTATGCCTAGTGTTCCATTATTGGAACGCTAAGCATGTGCAAGTTTATATTCTGCTTAAGGTCACTGCCAAGATCTGATTGCAAAAATTCGAAAAATTGCAACCTCAGCCATAAATGGGTTAAGTTGAAGGCAGTGGTCGCCATTCTGAGAATCCTAGGATTCTTAGGAATGAGGCTAAATCTGCTCTGCCTGTGGCTCTAGAAATGGAACGGCAAGGCCCAGGTGGCAGCACATCTGTGCACAGCACGGTTGATGGAATAGTGTAAGCCCACCGTTAGGCCCAGTGCTCAGAAAAGGAGATTCCTTTCAAAATACGACTGCTCATTGACGGTGCACCTGGTCACCCAGGAGCTCTGAGGCTGATGTACGAGGGGTTCGTGTTTTTGTGCTGACACAGCATCCGTTCTGCAGACCGTGGGTCCAGGAGTCATTCCAACTTTCCAGTCTTATTGGAGAAAGACGTTTTCTAAGGCCGTAGCCGCCAAAGATAGTGATTGCTCTGATGGATCTGAGCAAAGTAATGAAAACCTTTGAATAACCGTTGTCCAAGTTACCGGGGACATTTAGGTGAGTAAACGGGAGGCTCCGAGAAGCAGTTATAAAATGCAAATTCTACACGAATCTGGTTTAGTTTTTCAGAAACAGCCTCTTCAGGATCTACTTCTCAGGGACCCCCTCTCCAACCCCGTCAGTGCCGCTCTTCCAGCAGCATGCCCATTCCACGTCTCCTTGTGGTAATTCTCGCAATATGTCAAACTGTTATCGTATGTGTTATGGTGACCTGTGGTGTCACTACTATCTTGGGGCACTCATATGAACCCCAAGGCACTTGGTGAAAACCCTTCCCAGGGAGCCGGCTGAGCATGGGAAAAGAGGTTCCTCCTTGTCCTGCACACGCTGTGTCCTTGGAGGGCCCAGAGCCCCCACGGTCACCTGTCTCTTGCTTGTTCTTCCAGGGGCAGCTGGCAGTGTGGCCTCACAGCACATGCTTGTTCCATCTCTTGCTCTTTTCACGTGTGTAGATTGGAGGTTATTCCGTGTGAAGCCGCTGGAGCCCCCGGGCTCTACTGTTGCTGTGACTTTTCTATTCAGGGAAATTTCCAGCTTATTTGAGCCATATTAGCAAAGTGACAGGAAACCAGCCCTATGTACCCATCCCTGGAGCAAGCGTGTCCATCTTATGTGTCCTCCACACCTCCAAATCCCCACGCTGGTGTTGTGGCACTCATTCTAGCCTAATTTCATCCATTATTATTTCCCTATCTCAAGGAGATAAAAACTGTTAAAAGGACCATAAAACCACCATCCCACCACAGAATTCCAAATATCCCATCGATGTTCAAATCTTCCTAATTGCCTTATAAATTGCTTCATGTTTTAAGTTTGCTTGCTGGAACCCGGCAGCGTCCGTGTGACCTTTACGACATGACCTTTCTGTCTCCCTGACGCCGACGCTCTTTTCTTAGTTCAGCTGAAGAATGGGCTTGTGTATCCTGCACTCTGCCGACCGGTTCCCTGTGGTTTTGCGTGTTCTGCTCCATCCTTTTGAGAGGTGGTCAGACCGAGGCCGCATCAGGCTCCCCTGCAATTCCGTTTGGCGGGAGCAGCTTGCGGGTCTCAGGGCACCTCGGTGGCACTGTTGTTGTGCCTTCCTCCACCGTTAGCTGGAAGAGTAAAGAGAAACCCAAGGTTCATGTTTGTCACTAAAACACCCGCTCTTCGATTATATGGATGTTTCATGCATTTGTGATACAGTTACTTACTGATGTACCTTTTGGCCATTTTTAATCATCTGCTGTTTAAAATGCTGCTGCAGTATTTGTATATATACATAATTTCGCTCAAGTGGCTCTGTGTGGAATAAATTCTAAAAATTTCTGGGTCAAAGAGCACACACATTCAATCCCAGTCTGGCTGTTCACCACCCGCAGCTGCTGTGCCAACCCAACCCACCAGCGATGGAGCACCTGCCTCGTGCCCTTAAAGGGAGGGAAAGCATCTTCTCACATATTTATAAACTGCTTTATTTCCCCTTCAGTAAATTATTATTTTCATTAGCCCATTTTTCTATTGGTCAGTATTTTTCATAAGGAAAACTCTCCGACATGCTGCAAATTTTCCTGCCATTTGATATTTTTGTATTTTTGCCATTGTGATATAATCAAATTAAGTGACTTTCATTTATGGAGTCTGATTCATTCTAAGACAATCACTCCTGGTTGTGAAATTTAAAAAACAACATTGTCCCATTTTGCTTCTGGGATTTCTAGTTTTTAATTACATCTTTGATACAACTGGAATTTCTTTTGATTACAGATGCCAATTTTTCTATTTGGATAATTGTCCCAACATCGTTTACATCACTGCTTTTCCAGGAACGAAATGCCGTCTATGTTGGTTGTGAACGTGCATTTGGCACCTGGCAGGGCCAACCCTCATGGCGTGTGCGTGAACACATCCCTAAACCATAGTCTAATTTATCCTATTTTTGTAGTTCATGTGAGCAGAATCCAGTGTCTGTGTTCTCGCATCTGGTTTTCACTCCACGTGTTTGGGGTGCGTGCGTATCGCTGTGCATGGTGTGGACTTTCTCCACGTCCCGTGTGCAAACGCCACCCCACCCAGAGGCCACGCCAGGACCCAGGCCTGTGGGCAGTGGTTCCCGGTTTGCCCTTGCAAGGATGCTGTGTCCTCCTGCGTGAGCATCCCTGCCTCGGGTCTAATCCTGGGAGTGGAAGGCAGGTCGTGGGTGTGGCTGCATCCTCAGCTTCTCTGGATGATGCCCAGGAACATGCCCAGAGCCAGAGGGCCCAGCTGCTCGGCTCCCTCACACTGGGCTGGGCACTTGGTCGCCAGCCGTTTGGGGAGTGTGTTCTCATGGTGGTTTCAGGTGTGAGTCTGACCAACAACCCCCCGTGCCCGCTGGACACTGGAGTTCCTTCCTCTCTGGCGGTGTTTCTCATCAGGGTTCCCCACCGGCCTACTGCACGCTGCATCTCTCCTGACCTGTAGGAGTCCCCTACACCTCTGGCTGCTCGACTTTGTTGGTTTAATGTTTTGCAAATGTCTTCCTCCATTTTGTGGTTTGCCTTTTCATTCTCCTAATGGAACATGTTGCTTTACAGAAGCATCTAGTTTTAACAGAGTCTTGTTTAAGACGGTGTCAACACGCACTGGGCTGGCCTGGTCCCTGAACTCAGGTGTGTTTCCTTTGCAAACTCTAGAGCAGAGAGACAAGGGAGGAAGGACAGATAGCGGCAGAGTGTGTGGAAATGTTTTCCAGGAAGGATGGCTTTGAGTGACAGCATCATTTGAGTGACAGCAGTGGTAGGTGGTGTAATGGATTCTGATGTGGTGGGGGTAAGGGGCGCAGCCAAGCTCCGATTCCTCCTGCTGGGCCCAAGGACCAAGGACTGTGACAGGAATGCATAGTCCCTCCTCTGTCCTGCCAGAGGCCAGAGACTTGTGTCCACCACTCTGCCGGGCTGTCTTCAGGAACTTGTTCAGGAGGTGCTGGGGTGCAGGGCACGTCTGAAAGGCATTTCTGGACACCTGCTGTGGCCTCATACAGGAGAGTAGGTGACCTGGCCAAGGCCAGCACACAGGACAAGATTAAGCATCCAGGGACCCGGGGTCACAGCCCTCACTCCATTGCAGGGGTGGGGATGACAGAGGCCAGAGGGGATCAGACAGGGGCAGCTGTTGATGGTTCTGAGATGCAGTTTCTGTCTGAGGGGCCTCCTCCCACTCCTGGCCTGTGCAGAGGGGTGGGTGTGTGGAGGGAAGGTGGGTCTGCCCTGGTCAAACAGCAGAGGCATTGCCTGTTAGTCTCATTCCATTCCGAGTGCCCCCAGGGAGAGTCAGCCACCTTATGTAGAGAGGCAAGGCCAGAAGGCAGGGGGGGCCTCCCCTCTGGTGACCAACAGGGCCTGTGGTACAAGCAGTGCCGGCTGCTGCCCTCTCTGGCCTTTGTCTCCTTCCAGCCTCTCCGCTATTAGCAGAGGAGCAGAACACTTGACAGGTGGACACAGGCCACCCCCAACCCCTGGCCCTGGAGGAGGCTCCACAGTGGCCTCCTAGAGCCAGGAGACCGGACTGAGCTGAATCTGCTGCTCCTGACAGGACCTCACAGGGGGCGCCTTTGAGGACAACCTGAGGTCACTGCACTTGCAGGAGGGCCAGGACTTCCTTCACTTCAGCTGACGGACCCATGGCAGCTGCTCCCAGGTGGGTCTTTTCACCGAAGAACCATCTGGGTTTGTTTCTTTATTATGTTTCATTTCCTTTTCATTCTGCTCTTATTCTAATTTTCTTTACAGTTAGTCCTCTGCTTATGTTCAGCTCATTAATTTCCAGCCTTTCTTCTGTAATGTATAATTCACGACTTCAGAATCGCTTAAGCACCACTTTAGGTGAATTCTATCTGTTTTGATTAACTTTTATCTTTCATTATATATTTTATAATTTTCATTATTTCTTTTAAAGAGATGTTTTTAAAAACATTTTTAAAATTTCTGTGTACACACACACACACACACACACACACACACACACACACACACACACTTGGGTTCTGTAACTGTCCATTGGGTCAAGTTTTTCTCCTTCAACCGTGCCTTATGACACTTTATTGAAATGTACCAATTCAATAAAATACACTATGGTAGTAGGTGATCAATTTCTTCTTGAATGTTTGCTTTAATATCTTCTAAGACTGTGTTACAAATGTAGGAAAGTTCTATCAATCATCTTCCTGTTGAACTGAGCCTTTAATCATCATATAGTAATCTATTCCTAATAACACTATTTGCCTTCCTTTAACTGGAGAACTTTGTCATTAACAGAGGTTTTAATCCATTCACATTTATTGTGTCCCAAAATATTTATTTCTAATTGTGTGTGTGTTTTGCAGCTTGTTCTGCCTTTTCCTCTTGCCATTCTTGCATATTTTGATAGTGTATTTTTTATTCTTGTTCCATTTCTCTCCTACTAGTATAGAAGTTATCTTCCCCATACATTAACTGTTTGTGTGTGACTAAATACTTCAACATGCACCTAGCCAAGCTGATAACTGAATTATCTGCACTCTGTTCCAGGAGAACATAGACTTAAGATGCTCTAAATTCAGCCACCAACTCTGCCACTGATTTATATGCTGCTGTTGTCCATTTTAAGCAATTCTACGTGCTTTAAAAAAAAATCCACATATAAGCCATCTTTCTATGTTTTTATGGTCACAGTTTATTGCTTCCCTTGCTCCACATTCCTCCAACTATCCAACTGCGATCATTTCCCTCCTGCCTAAAGTTTATCCACTAAAGCAGTGGTTCTCAACCAGGGGCACCCCCAGAAGATATTTGGCAGTGTCTGGAGACATTTTTTTTTCTTTTTGTCACAGCTGGGTAGGGGGATGCTGCTTCCATCTGGGATGTTGCTGAACACCCTGCAATAAACAGGACAGCTCTCAAAACAAATGACTCAACCCCAAATATTAAGCCAAGATTAAAAAACCAAACAGATAAGAATGGCATATTTTTATCTAAATGACTTAATTGTGTTCTCTTCTTTAATGTTATGCTGTGGGCACAATTCAAGCAACTTGACAGCTATTTTCTCTCAGCATAATGAAGACCTTGGTCTACTCACTGCTCAACTCCAGTGCTGCTGCTGGGAAATTGGTAGTCGTTTATATCACTCTGTCCTTCTTACAGTTCTGCAGTTTCACTGTGGCAGGTCTAAATGTGAGACTGTTAGGCTTCTGTATCTGGGGACTGTTGCATGTCAGTATGGAATATCTGCATCACTTCATTTCATTCTGAGACCCCAATTACCCAAAGGTTAGACATTCTTCAATGTCTCTTGATGTTGCTGTTATATCTTCCAGTTCTCTGGATAATGTTTTCAGATCTTCCAGTTTTCTAATTCTCTCTTCAGCTGTGTCTAAGCTATCCATTGAGCTTTTCATTTCACTTCTTACATTTCTAGGGGCTCTGTTTTTTTCTAATCTCTTCTTGATCATTTCTAGCCCTTTTCAAAAATGTACTCATATTATAGCCTACATTCTACCAGAGAGGTTTTGTATTTGCATCTTCTGCCCTTGTCTGGGAATACCACTGGTCAGGGCCAAGTCAATCAAATTTTCCACTTTAGGAGTTTTGGGGATCATACAGGTAGTATTAATTCAGGCCACTTCAGGGGAGATAGATTGAGATAAGAGTCTTGCTGCTGTTCCTTTGAAAAAGACTTATTTAGGGTCCCAGCTTTATATAGCGGTCCATTAGATCTGGCCCTGGGCCTTAAATTCTCTCATCCATTCTGCTATCAAAATAGCGTGACTAGATTCCAGGGCTCAGCAGAAACCCTCAGGATCTCCAAGGTCTCTGCTCTCACATGGAGGGTTTCTGGTTAGCACCTAGAACGTGTTTGTGGGTACACAAATCCCACATCAGCTCCCCGGTCCCAGGGATACTGGCTTCTTGCTGCTCTCTAAACTCACAAAGCTTGCTCCACTTCTGGGACCACAAGCATTCTCTTTTCTGCCATTGGACACAGTCTGGACCTCTGCCCAAATGCTGCCCCTTCAGAGAGGTTTTCTGAACACCTTCTCGGAGTCAACACCCAACATGCCATTCCATTGCCCACTTTATCTTTGTTCATAGCACTCAGTGTTGCCTGCCTTGATGGTGCTTGCTTGTTCATTTGCTATTGTCTGCCCCAGCTATCATGTGAGCAAGGGGTTCCTTGCCAAACTCTATCACCTGGACCCTGGTGGGCTCCAGAAACGGCTGCTGAAAGAGGGCTTTCCAGGCCACCAGGTGTCTGGTGAGCACAAGTGCCCCAGTGATGGATGGGATCCAGTGGGAAAGAGGCAGTGGCCAGTGGAGTGATCCACTTTCCTCGGGTTGCTAAGTTAGACCGACATTAAAAGAAGAACTGCTTTGCCACATAGTGTCACTGATGGGTCTGGGTGGGTAATCGACCTGCCTCCATGTCTTAAAATGCCATTTATCTGGAATCTTCTTTTAATTGCACTAAGAACAGTTCATCATGTTTTTCTCAGAAGCCACTTGTTCCTTCCATCCTCAGTGCATCCCAGGCCAGCAGGAGCTTTGTGAGCTGCAGGCATGGCGATGGTGCGCCTGTTCCACACCCAGCAGGCGCAACCAGAGTCTCATGTGTGCCGACCACAGGAGCCAAGCCTTTTCCACTGTGTGGACTCATGTGGCCAAGGCTAGGCCTGGTCACCCAGGACCCTCACCACGTGACCCCAGCCAATCGGGACAGTTCAAGGAGGAGGAGACCCCTATTACACAGGTTGGAATAAAATATTTAAATCTCGTAAAAATGTAACCCAAGGCTCTTTTAGGGTATAAAGACCATTGGCCACCAGGTCAAACACAACAACAGTAGTGTGTTAACCCCACACTCCTGTGTGGCCAGGTCGTCACACACATCCCGTGAAGAGCTGTCTGCTAAACACACAGCACGGACTGTCACAGTCCTGGTCTTGTGGTCCTGGTGACCTCACAAGCCTCACAGATGCGGTGGCACCTCCCAGTTCTTGGCCTGCCCATGTTCCTGTGTCCAGGCCCCATCCCCACCTGAGAGCAGGCCAGGGAGCCACCCTAATCTACACCACGCACATGGCACCCCTGGGCTCCTCACATAGGGAAAGGGTTGCTCACCCAAGCCCTTGGGCCTCTGAGTGGCCACACCTGGGGCTGCTTTGGTGCTGCTGGCCGTGGTTCTGCACCTCAAGCCCTATGAGCACAGCACAGGTCCCAGAGATGGGTGTGGGTTGCTACCACAGTGAAATTTTTATACACGTTCCCCTCACCAGCTTTGGGATGGATCAGCACGAGCTCAGACACAGAGACAAAGGTAGCCTCCTGCCCTTTGCCTAAAAACCCAAGTGTGGACTCTGCCCAGGCTCTCCTAAGACAGTGTAATTATTTCAAGAATGGTATTTATTTCCCACATTACTGTAGAGGCACACATTGGACTCTGACGATTCCCCTTGCAGCAGACATTTGTGAAGCTGCTGGTCGGCACACCCATCAATCAGTGACTCCTGCACTGCAGAGGGGCCACATGCACGATGCTCACGTGTGCACAGGGGGGAGGACAGCACCCCCACCAGGCAGACGGGCCCAGAAACAGCATCTGCCCAGCACTCCAGACCATGCCTGCCACCAGGGCTTCTCAGTTCTCTAGCATTTGAACCTCTGATTTAACATTCATCTCTCTCCAAGACTGGGTGGGGCACTGCCTGTGGCCAGACGTCTCCCACAGCAGGGACAGCACCAGGCAAGAAGGGGGCCTGGTCTCCAGGCAGGAGGAGTGCAGCCCACCTCCCCTCTGGCTGACCCCTGGGCAGTGAGCCTTTCCATCACCCCTACACACATCAGGCTCAGAGACAAAAGGCAGGAACTTCTTGGTACATGATTTTATAGGAAGCACATTTGTGTTCAAGTGAAGGCAGAGGCGTCCACCCCAAGTCACCAGAGCGCAGGTGCAGAGAGGAAAAGCTGTCAGCTAGTGCCAGCCTCCAAGGGCCAGCGCTACCCTTCAACAGCTGGAGGCACCACTGTGCGAGGCTTTCCACACCGGCCTCCCTCAGGAACAAGACATCCTCACCAGGCAGGGGTGAGGTATGGGCTCCAGGACTGGCTTCAGCAGGCACCAGGCTGAAGAAGAGACAAGACAAGCTCAGGCTGGTCAGCTCCAACACACACCATTCCCAGCCAGGGGACCCTCACCCCTCTGGGCCCTGTGTGGGGACTGACACGGTTCCTGCAGGAAACCATTTGTGCCGTTTCCCACACACCCGGCAGCCTGAGCTATGTGGCTGACAGGTGCTCATGACTAACGTGTCCTCGGAAGGGCACCCCATCTGGGGAGCGGGAAGGGAGGTTCACTGCACTGCTCTTAACCTGCATTCACACGTTTGAAATTTTTCCTAATAAAAATGTAAAAAGCACATTTAATTCCAAAGTCTGCTGTTGAGTTCAGCCTTTACACACACAGAAATGGGGGAGGCTGTGTCCTGATGCTCAGCCCATCCCCACTGCCCCCATGTATCTGGACATGGTTCTCCTCCTCCCTCTCAGATATAACCTCCTGCCGGAAGGAGGCTGAGAGGAAGGAGCCAACCCTGGTAACTAGAGAGACAGCACAGCAACCCTGGGCCCCAGCCCCCGTGAGAACTGAGGTACTTGTTTTTGTTACTTTAGAAGAAGAGTGACGGGCTGGTGAGGTGCACAGGGGCAGCTTCTGGGGGCCTCTCACCCAGCCCCGGCCCCACTCATGGGAAGCAGATGAGGAGGGGTAGGGTGGCACTCTTGGCACTTGGAGCACAAACAGACCCCAGGGCCAGGCATGAGGAGCCTGGATCAAGCTGGTGCCAGCTCCACCCACTCCCCGGCCCCCCAAACGCCCCAGAGCAAGTGGCCTGGATGCCACAGGGGCCCACAGGTGTGGGCAGTGGCCAGAGAAGGCAGCTCTGCTGGTCCCGTAATCCCAGGGGTCCTGACATGAGACGAGGGAACGGGCCGTGTGGACGTGCTGGCAGAAGCTAAGCACAGCCGCTGGCCCCAGAACATTCCAGAGCTCAGGGAAGCACAGGCACCTCATGCTGTGAAGGTGACAGGGTTACCTGGGGCACCAGCTGGGGCCTGGGTACGCCCAGAAGGTCACACAGACGGTTGCGCTGCTCTCTCACCACTGCAAGCTCCGCGTCCCTGTGAGGAGAGGGAGAGCCGTGAGTCTCTCGAGTGCCCACCGGAGAACCTCAGGTGTGCGGAGGTCCCGCGTCAAGCTTCCATGGCCGCAGTCAGGGAAAGGAGACCTCACCCCCGACATCCATAGCCAGGCTGAGGGCAGAAAAGACGTCACAGGAGCACGTTCTCCAGCAGAGCCTCGAGCCTGAGCCCTTTCCGGAATCGCAGGAGGACGGTTCCTTCCCAACAAGGGGTGCCCCTCGGGAAGGACCACGCCCAGCGCAGGGACTGCGGGAGGACAGACCAAGCGAGGCCAAGGAGGGGCTGACAAGGGTTTTCCAGGTTTTAATTTAGCTGTTGATGCGAAATAAAAATTCTAGCAATGCTGTGGAGATATCTGGGGCATGTTTTTCGTTTCTAATTTAAAATATTCTCTTTAAATTCTAAGGATTTTTTTTTTTAACAGAAAGGGGATTAAACGATAGGAGAAGCCCCCAGGCCCACCCTGCTAGTTCCTCCCTCCCTGATGTGAGGAAAGGAGGCCACCCCGACCCAGCCTCGCTGGAGGAGGCCTCGCCCCGCTCGGGACACCTGGCTTCTTCAGTCCTAAAGCCAATTATTTTAGAATCTGGTCCAGAATGCACCTTGGTGTTTTTTTTTAAAAAAAATCATTGTAAAAACGGGTATCCAGAGCAGTAGTTAAGATGGCCATTCTCTCAACGCATGTTGAGAAGACAGCCCAGCTGCTCCCGGTTCCTCTCCTGGGACCACGTGTTTGTTTAGGAGCAGACACACACTCCTCCCCAAACCAGAAAACCTCGCGGAAGCCCTGGAGAGGCCACCTCTGTCCTCCGAGGCCACAGCGGCTGCCTGGTGCGTGAGCTCTATGGGAACCCAGCCCTGTTGGAAGGTCACTGTTCCGAGGAGACACCTAGGGAACGTCACCTACGTCCTTGCTGGATTCAACAAGGGGCGTGGACCCCACAGACCTGTAGCAACGCACCGGGATCAGCACGGAGGCCCTCACAGTCGGCACTCAAAACAGAGCAGCGTCCACAGGCAGGACACCTGGGACTCCACCACCCCGGGTATGCCATGTGGACACCCACACAGCCTCTGGTTGCTTCAGTCCTGATCTCCAACACGGGGTGACGAGACTGCTCCCCTTTTAGAAGTGTGTGTGTGTGTGTGTGTGTGTGTGTGCGCGCGAGTGAGCATGTGTGTGAGCCAGCATGGGTGCCCATGCCCATATGTGTAAGACACCATCACTGCTGTTCCCAGGAACATACCGGTTGGCCCAGGACACCTGAGCCTGCACTTTCCCCACTCTGCTCTCATTCAGACCCTCCCACCCCCAACTCAATACACACATCTTTCAAAACCGCCATTCTACTCCACCCATGGTAAAGAAGCCAGCCCATGTTGCAGAAACTGTGCCTGCCAAAGTAAACGTGGAGAGTGGCACTATGGCCTCCTGAGGGCCTCATGGCCCTGAGGAAGGGGGTGGACATCAGAGCAGAGGCGTGGGGAGAGCTTTTCTTATTTCCGCCTGTGCCTCTTGATTTCCAACAGGTGCTCACACGGCCTATTCCAAGAGAACTTTAGAGAGGTCTGGGGCAGCAGCACCTGCCAGGCCTTCAGTGCCCTCTGCTCCACAGGCCACCAGACACAGCCTTGTGGTACAGGTGCCCGCTCCCCTGGTGGGATGGATGGCTTTGCTGTGTTCCTGACACCTGACACTGTTTGGGGACAGGGCGGTTGAGAAGAGGTTTCGGCTACAGCAGCACGGCTGCCTTGTAAAACCCAAGCAGAGGATGTGGAGACCTGGGAACCCTCTTTCCTCCTCCTATCAGAGGGTTTTGGGAGAGACGAGTAGACACGGTGGGGACAGGAAGAGGGGCGGTGCCAGGCCCAGGTGGCCGTGCAGGAAGGGCCTTCACTCACCACGCAGTGTCACTGAGCACAGTCACCACCTCGTCCAGCACATCCGCGCCCACGACGTCACTGTAGGTGAGCAATGTCTCGTACACCTGGCTGGCCGTGGTCTTCCGGATCTGGGACAGGGATGCAGTGCATTTGCCGGAGGGAAGCGCCACCGCCCCACCCCGGAGAGACGACAGGACCCAGGCCAGGGAGCCCCGTCAGTGGAAGGCGTCAGGAGGAGGACGCTGACCCTGCATCCCATCCCAGCCACAGCAGGGCTGCAACCAAGAGGAGGTGCCTTCCAGGCCCATTAACCACCTCCTCCCTCCACAGACACACAGCTAGCTGCAGGATCCCAGCAGTGAAGATGACATCATTCTTGTTTAAATGCTTTATTAACCAACCTGCTCCCTCACCAGAGAAGCAATCTCGCCTGCTCTCTATTAACTAACCTGCTCCCTCACCAGAGAAGCAATCTCGCCTGCTATTAACCAACCTGCTCCCTCACCAGAGAAGCAATCTCGCCTGCTCTCTTTTCATCAGAGAAGCACTCTCACCTGCTCTCTATTAACCAACCTGCTACCTCACCAGAGAAGCAATCTCGCCCGCTATCTATTAACCAACCTGCTCCCTCACCAGAGAAGCAATCTCGCCCGCTATCTATTAACCAACCTGCTCCCTCACCAGAGAAGCAATCTCGCCTGCTCTCTTTTCATCAGAGAAGTAATCTCACCTGCTCTCCATTAACCAACCTGCTCCCTCACCAGAGAAGCAATCTCGCCTGCTCTGTTTTCACCAGAGAAGCAATCTCACCTGCTATTAACCAACCTGCTCCCTCACCAGAGAAGCAATCTCACCTGCTCTCTTTTCACCAGGGAAGCAATCTCGCCTGCTCTCTTTTCATCAGGGAAGCAATCTCGCCTGCTCTCTTTTCATCAGGGAAGCAATCTCGCCTGCTCTCTTTTCGAGTGGTGCCCTGGTCATCATGTCTCACTGCGCTGGTGGTCTGAGCCCCGGGCCCACCCTGGAGGTGCTGAGTCGGCAGCACAGGGCCCAAGAGCTGCACTGCTGAAGCCCCAGAGGTGCCAAGCCTGAGGGTCCGGCACCCCACTTCGAGAACCACCATACAACATGAAGTTACTTTTGCCTTTTAGGAAAATGTCACCTTTGTATCATCTGAGGTTTTTTTTGCAGCCAGGAGAAAAGAAATCCTAGAAATCTAATAGCCGGGGAGTGCTGGGGATGAAGGGCACTGCCCCTAGGTGTGGCTGAACCACTTCAGCCTGGGTCCTTCTGGAAGCTCCTGAGCCAGATCCCACCGCCAGGTCACCCCTCAATGTATGTCCATAGAAACGCCAGCCGGACAGCCCGTCCTTAAAGCCAGAACAGTGGCGTCCAGAGCCCCTTGGCAGCCGCGTGCCTGTGACGCGTCGTCACCCAGGCGCGTTAACGAGAGGGGCTCAGCTGGAAAGCACACCAACACAACAGTGCCAGCGAAGGCCTTCTTGTCACTGAGGGGCTTGTGTCCACACGGCAAACACACGTGAGCAGGGGCAGGCACTCACCAGCGGGAAACGGTGGCAGAGGAGCAGACACAGCTGCAGGAGGGCCTGCCTCCTCACGTCGCCGGGGAACTGCACCATCCCGCAGAACCTGCCGGGAGCAGCACATGGCTCCAGGTGAGCCCCACCCCGCGCAGGCCAACCCCAGCAAACCCCGGACCCAAAGGCCCATGCAGAGACCTGGGCAGAGCAGATCCGTGAGCACAGTGCGGGCCTGGGGCCCCAAGCCGGAGGTGTGTGTGTGCGCACATCTGCACTGTGCCTACACACGCGAGTGTCGCACTTGGAAAGTCACTGTGGGAAGTGAGGACGCCTCACAGAGGATCTCCTGCAGGGCCGCTCGCCCTGCCATGAGGACCCCCACCTCAAGGAGCCACAGAGCAGCCAAGGTGCCTATCGCTGGCTGGCGCACCTGCCCAGTGTCCACCTGAGCGCCGCAGAGCAAGGCACTCAACAGCGACCCCCAGGGCACACAGGAGAATCGGGGAGGCAGCCCCTGACCACGCAGCTCCTTTCCGGAGCCTCCCCTCCCCCCAGGGCAGAGCGCGAGGGCAGCAGAGGCAGAGCTCGCCTGTTCCCGCGGGAACTCCCTCCACCAGCACCTGGGCTGCCTCACCTCCCATTGCGACTGCTTTGAACATTGGAATGCACGATCTTAGGTTAGCTTGAGGAGTAACACTAACTGCTCCTCTCCCGCCTGGAGCCGTGGACTCCTGCCCTCAGCCAAGGGAGGCTGCGCCCTGCCATTCCGTCTAAGGCCAGCAGCACTTGAAACTCACACTGCGATGCCTGACAGGAGCTTCTGGATATCTTTTGAATTCTTGATTTCTTTCTTACAGAGCGCAAGCAACTTCACAGCAAAGGGGTGGCTGGAAGAACAACACACACTTTAGAGATGAGCTTTCACAGGCAGCCCCGGGATGCACACTTTTTCTGTCTCAAAGAAGGTCAACTCCGTCCTCCCAGTGGCTCAGTCCAAGAAGCCTGCAGCCCTGAGGCCCCTCTGCCAGCAAGTCCGCTGGTCCCCATCCCAATACCTCCACAGGCCGGCCTGGTCCCTAGCGGCTGTGCCACCACCTGGCCGGCCTCTGCTGTCTCTTGCTCTCTTGCCTGTGGTGCAGCAGCCCCCACGGGGCCCCACCTCCCTTTCCAGGCCCCAGGGTCTGTCCCCAACACAGCGGCGGCCAGGATGCCCGTGCTCCTCCACCACTCCCTCCAGAGGCTACCTGGCCTGGGCTGCTGCAGAGCCGGGGGAAACTGCCGACACACAGAGGACACACAAGGCTGTGCAGTGTTGTTTTGAGCCTTCAGTGGCAGCAGGGACAAGGGCTGAGGCTTGGTGCTGACAAAGGCACAGCCCTGATGAGCAGCTCTGAGAGGGCACCTGGAAGGCCACTCCAGGGAGGAGAAGGTGCGCACCTCCCTCTCTCAGTGGGGAATGCAGCCAAGCTCCAGCCACCCAACAGGCCAGGAAACCCTCACTGCTGACCGTGAGTCAAGGAGACCCCAGGCTGCTGCTACCCTCTCCTCAGGTGCCCAGAAAAGGCAAACTAAGGTCCTGCCTGCCAAAGCACAGGCTTAGCCCAGACCTCGGCTTGCTCTGAGGTGCGACCCCTCAAACGCAACGTCCCGAGAGAACACAATACCAGACAAGTAAGAAGACAAAGAAACCCGCTCAGGTTGCAACTCAGACACACCCAGCCAAACAGGCAGGAAAAGAGCATTCAAGAGGATGAACACCGGGCACGGAAGGAAGGGCCGCAGGGAACGGCGAAGCGGAAAGCGCTACAAGCAGACGTGGAAACACGCGAGACAAAAAACCTACACCTGAAAAGACGCAAAACTCCACAATAAGAATTCCACAAATCACAGTTAAAAGTCATTTAGAGACATCTTCAGAGAGAATCAGCAGCTGGCAGGCGGGCCAAAGGTAATGAAGCAAAGAGAGAGGGAAAAGACGTGTGAAAATTGCAGAGGGGGTGACCGAGGGAAACACGTGAGCGTGATAATGACAGAAAAACCAGGGAAGGAGCAAACCTGGGCAGGGGGTGGGAAACCCGGGCCGTTTCCAGGGAGCACAGGCAGACTCAGAGGTAACACTCAAAAGCAACAACAGAAGCAAGGAGGAAGTGGGAAAATATTTTTAATGTGCTACAACGAAACAGCTGCCTGAATTCTATATACCCTCTGAAAATAATCTGCACATAAAATGGGAAAGCTTCACCGCAGCAGACCCCACTCGAGGAAATCCAAGGGAGTGTGCTCTAGGGAGAGGGAATGTGAACCCCGATGGGGGGGGTCCCAAAAGCAGTAAGTGATGAGAGACAAAGAAAGTAAAAACGTGGAAAATTCAAAGTAACGCAAATTACACATACCACAATGAACAGGAAAGTACGTACATCTAAGACAAAATATCCGACAATAGCAGCACATAACTCAAGACGGAAGCACGCGGAACCAACACGTTCTAATATCCTTGCTATTGTCCAATAAGGACAAAATGCTGAAAACTGGACTTCGCTAAGAATACGTGGTGTCATTTCTAATTTCTAGGGTAAGCGTTAACAGAAAAAAGTAAAATGTCCCAAACAAATATATGAAAACAATGGAATGACAAAAGCAATTCTACTAATCCAACAAAAAGCACAGGTGGGGGCGGGGAGGGGGCACTGGGAACGCAGCACAGGGAAAAGTCCTGTGAGTGGCAGGCTGAGAACCAAGGGGATTATAAAGGTCATGAAGGAGGCAGGTAAAAGCTACAGGCTGAATTTTTACAAAACCATACACTGTTCTAAGAGAGGCGTACAAAAACATACATGTATGAAGATACTGAAAGTAAAACGATGGAAAAAAGTATACAGTTCAAAGTCAAGTGAAGCAAGACAAAGAATGAGTGGAGCAAAAAGCATCCTAGAAATGGGTGATAAGGGCAAGATTCAGCCCACAAACACGCTTCAAAATCTGAAAAGCCAAAACTGACAAAACTAGAGAGAGAAATACAAAGCTGTATTCATAGCAGGACATGGCAGGAGGTATTTTCTCTACCATCCTATCTTGGAAAAAAAAAATTTTTTTTTTTGAAACAGAGTCTGGCTGTGTTGCCCAGGCTGGAGCACAGTGGCTCAATCTCAGCTCACGGCAACCTTCGCCTCCCAGGCCCAAGCCGTACAGGCACCACCACACCCGGCTAATGTTTTTGTATTTTTTGTAGAGATGGGGTTTCACCAAGTTGGCCAGGCTGGTCTCAAACTCCGGAGCTCAAGTGATCCACTCGCCTTGGCCTCCCAAAGTGCTGGGATTACAGGCGTGAGCCATGGCGCCCAGGCTTATTTTGAAATTTTTAAGCCAGAAAAATATATGTCAATATTTTAGGCCAGGTACGGTGGCTCACGCCTATAATCCCAGCACTTTGGGAGGCAGAAGTGGGCAGATCACCTCAGGTCGGGAGTTCGAGACCAGCCTGACCAACATGGTGAAACCCCATCTCTACTAAAAATACAAAATTACCTGGGCATGGTAGCACATGCCTGTAATCCCAGCTACTAGGGAGGCTGAGGCAGGAGAATCACTTGAACCCAGGAGGCAGAGGTTGCAGTGAGCTGAGATCGCACCAATTCACTCCAGTCTGGGCAACAACAGCAAAACTCCATCTCAAAAAAAAAATTTAAATGGAGTATTTAGCATTGTATTAAAGGATAATACGCCACAACCGAGCTGGGTGCACCTGTGAACATGGAGGCTGTTCCAACAGCAGGTGTAAAGAAGGTCAGTCAGTGATGCCCCATTAAGAAATTAAAAGGGGAAACCCTTCAATGCTGTTAGATTTAAAAACATGTGCAGCGTCCAGCAAAGATGGAGCAACAGAGACCAGATCTGCCTCCCGCCCGAAGGTTAAGGCAGAGCCAAGTCCAGCAGGTGGCAGACTCCAGCGGGAAGCCCGTGGTGAGAAGCGGGAAATTCCAAGTCTGCAGAGCTCGCTCAGGTTCTGAGCACCAGAGGGGGCTTCCTGGGGGCCGCTGAGGACTAACCTGGGCCTGGGTCAGCCAGTACCTGAGTACGAGGACGCTGTCCAAGGCTGGGGACGAACCACCCAAAAGATGGCCAGAAGCCCCGGCACTGCCCCAGCAGCGGTGGGAAGGGAAGCGCCAGGGAGCAGAGACCTTAAAGGGGCAGAAAACCCTGGAGACCAGCACAGCTCTGGGTCCACCTGACAGCTTAAGAGTAGCGCCCAAGCCAGGCTCAGTGGCTCACGCCTGTAATCCCAGCACTTTGGGAGGCCGAGGTGGGCAGGTCACTTGAGGTCAGGAGTTCGAGACCAGCCTGACCAATGTGGTGAAACCCCGTCTCTACTAAAAATACAAACAATCAGCCAGGTGTGATGGTGCACAGCTGTAATCTCAGCTACTCAGAAGTCTGCGAGAGAACTGCTTGAACCCGGGACGGGGTTGCGGTGAGCTGAAATCGAGCCACTGCACTACACCCTGGGCAACAGAGCAAGACTCCATCTCAAAACAAACAAAAAAAAAAGCAGTGCCCCCAAAAACAGACCACGCTGTCTCCAGATGACCCAACGTGCCCCAGATACAAATATATCCAGGCCAGACGCAGTGGCTCACACCTGTAATCCCAGCACTTTAGGAGGCCAAGGCAGGCACTTGGGGCCAGGAGTTCAAGACCAGCCTGGGAAACATAGTGAAATCCTGTCTCTACTAAAAATACAAACATTAGCCGTACATTAGACTACAGCGCATGCCTGTAGTCCCAGATACTTGGGAGGCTGAGGTAGAGGCTGCAGTGAGCTGTGATTGTGCCACTGCACTCCAGCCTGGGAAACAGAGCTAGACCCTGTCTCAAAAAAAAAAAAAAAAAAAAAAGACTGGCCCAACACAGTGAAATTCAATGAAGCAAGAAAATATGGCAGCAACGAGATGACCACTCAGAGCCAACAACCCAGCTGAGACCAGCCTGGGGCATCCGCGTGGCGCAGAAGCAAGGAGCTCCAATCTCCTGGGCAAGTCCTCGCCAGGTCACCGGCCTCTGCCCTCTCCCCTGCGAGTCTCATCCCCGTACAGCCGAGGCCCCTTCAGGCCCTGCGGCTCCCAGCACAACCCTGAGGCCCACCCCTGGCCCGGTGGGATAGCTGGGGGGAGAGTGCACAGCAGGGCCCCCGCCTCAGCCCCAGATGGGGCTGACTGCACTTACAGTCATAATATGTCATTATGTAAATATGTTATTATTGCGTTATTTTGAGGGCCAGCTGTGATGACGGTATTTACAGTCACCATAACTGACCCAGAACGCACTGGAAGATCATTTCCTGGAATTCTGATCTCTGTGTCTGATGACTTTTTCTTTAATACATGAGCTACTTAGGCTTAATCGGAAGGGAAGTCATGAAAAGCAGAGCCTCACTCCTCCTCCGTGGTGAAGATGTCGAAGCAGCCGTGGGTGAGCACGTGGTCCAGCGTCTTCAGCAGCGGCACGGACACCCTGAGGGGAGAAGGAGCTGTGAGACCCTGGACACCAGCAACAAGGACGCCCAACTCCCTGAATGGCTGAGAGTCAGCAGGATCCCAGTGGAAAGCGACAAGCCCCCTTTATAATTTACGTGGAAACGCAAAGCTTCAGGAAAAGACAAAACAACTGTGGAAAGAAGAAACAAGGCTGGAGGCTGACGCTGAACTTCGAAAATGATGGTAAAGTGGAAGGGATAGAAACAGCACGGCCCTGGTGCAAAGTGAAGCAAACACGTCGGGCACAGAAGAGTCCAAAGTAAACCCACAGTTTCTTACAAAGCTGCAACGGCAATGCAGCGGAGAGGGGAGCCCTCCCAGCAATTGGGGTGGGCACCGCTGGGCGTCAAGGTGCCTGTGCCGACGCTATACCATGTAAGAAACCTCACTCAAGACGCGTCCCAGGTCTAAATACACAACCCAAAACTATAAATCTTCTAGGACAAAACAGAAAATCTCAGTGACCACGGATTAGGCAAGCTGTCTTAGACACACCAGAAAAATCTGTGCCTCAGAGAACAAGGGGAGATGCTGGGACGTGAGGAAAGTGTGAGGCCCCCGCTCGGTGCGTGAAAGGACAGGCAGGGAGAAAACACCCTCAAGTCACATGTGTGACAAGGGAGGATCAGACCACAACAGTCAGGGAAGGAGAACAGAAAAAAATGAAGACACTTCTCCAAAGAGAATATAAAACAGCAACGCGCCAGTGAGAGTGACCTCAGACAGCATCAGCAGAAAGACATGACACGTGGGCGTTCTGGAAACCCTCCAGCAGCTTTCCAAAGCTAGACATTCGCCTCTGTGTGAGCCAGCCTGCGGCGCCTCGGTATTTACCCCACAGAAAAGGAGGCTGGGGAGGTCCCCTCTGGGCGACAGGAGCATCAGGAGAGCTTTAGCACAGGCCGACTAACACACAGGAGAGCTGGGCTCCGCAGCCCACAGAGAGGGAGGCCCAGCTGTGCACACCTACCCACAGGCTCGCACACACAGACTGCCTGCAGCTCTACCAGCAACAGCCCCGATGCGGCAACAACCAAAATGCCCACAGACAGATGCACTGTGGTGCCTCCACCAACAGACACGACTGGTCAGCAAGGAGGAATGAGCGAACGGCAAGGCGGAATGAGCGACCGGCACGGAGGAATGAGCGACCGGCACGCGGCCCAGCGCCTCAAGTGACCATGGGCTGAGGCTATGGTGACGCAGGTCAGGGGCACGGACTCGAAGGGCTGGGAGGAAACCTTGGGCTGGAGCCCACCGTCCTGACTGGGGAAGATTTTAAGGGTGGACACCTATCAAAATCGATCGAACTGCCCCTTTATGTGCAGCTGATTATAGTCGTAACGAGAAAAGAAAACATGGCTGGGCCGAGTTCCTGTTTGCCGAGAGCGGCATCTGTGCTCTCATGGGAGAGGCTGCCGAGGCCCCGCCCGAGGGGACACCAGGCCCGTGTCCTCGTCCTCGCACATGCTGGGAACAACCCTTCCAGAGGATGTTCCCAATTCTGAGGTCAAGGCCCACAGGGTCTATACTCTGCCTCCATGTAAAGCCAGAAACTTCTAGAAAGCAGCGATGTTTCTCACTTGACATTCCATCCTCAGGAACGCAGAGCTCTCACTTGCCGGGTGGCTGATGAGCGTCCGCAAGCACGTCCGTGGGAGCACCAAGCTGGAGGAGCTCCCACAACGCCTTCCTACACACAGGGACCACCTTGTACTCATACTACCTTTACGTCCATTGTACACACAACGGTCATTTCCCTGCCTCATGTGGAGGCTAGAAGAGGAGGCGCAGGGGCTGAGGCCTGGCCGCCCGGAGAACCATATGCTGCAGGCACATCTTCCTCGCTGAGCCACCAACTGGTACAGCGTGTGTCTCGCTTCTCCCTTCAGACCCCAGACAGACCCTGCGAGACCCCGGGAATCTGTGGGAACGTGGTGAGAGGCACCAGCACCACTCACGCCTCTGAGGCCCCAAGAGACACCACTCACCTCTCATTCAGAAGGTTGTCCTCAAAGATCTGCAGAAGGGTCCCGCTGAAGCTGCCCAGGGCCTGCGGGTCGCTCTGAATGCCCTTCATGTACTCAAAGAGGCTCTGGGTGGAGTGCCGGATCTGCAACACGGAGACACCTCAGAAGGCAGTGGGACCCCCGAGCCTGCCACCCCTCAGGCTTGGCTACAGCCGGTCAAGCATCTGCTGAAGAGCAGAACTGCTCCGAGCTGCAGAGACGCGAAGGTCTGGCCCCAAGCGGCTGGTGCGGACGCCAGCACGGAGCCACTCACAGTGCAGACACCCGAAGCAGACACAAGGCTCTCGGCAACGGCAGCTCAGCCTGAGCCCTCACTCAGGACATGCGGGAGAGCACGTGACGAAAGGCTGCGGCCACTCACCTTGGGTTTCGCTCACGTTTCCCACTGAAGCGGGATTTGATAATCCCCGCAATTCCCGAGTGCAGAATGTCTCGGGGCCCCGCTCGCATGTGGCCCGGGTCTCCCCGCACGCGCCCGCACGGCGCAGAGGGCACCTCACGTCCTGGGGCCCGGGTCTCCCCGCACGCGCCCACACGGCGCAGAGGGCACCTCACGTCCTGTTACGTGTTTTCTAGGACTTAGCAGCTGTCACAGGGTTGCCACATAAAGCAGGTCATGACCCAAGGTGCAGGGGCCACGAGTGACAAGATGCAGAGAGGCCTTCAAGTTCCACAGCTCAGCCACAGACCAAGGCTCTGGAGACCCTCCCCACAGACATGAGAAGCTGGGCCTGGAGCCCTGAAAGTGGAGGGCGGAGGCCGATCTAGAACCTGATGGAGCCCAGGTACCCACATGCAGGCATCAGACACAGGTCCTGGAGGATTGAACCCCGAGGGGACGCTGGGAGCTCCAAGGCTGCGGCCGCAGGAAGAGAGTGGCGCTGGCCCTGTCCCACCTTCATCAGACTCAACCATCCCACAGGCCCTAAGCCTCCTGGGTCATGAGGAAGACACTGGGCCCCTGACCCCCTAACCAAATATGCCCGAGAGAGATAGAAAGCAATGGAAGAAAAGGCCCAGCTCCATACACGCTCCCAAGAGACAGGGAAGCACCAGGCACTCCTGGAGCCACCTCCTGCCCCAGCCAGCCCGACGCCTCCTCACCGTCGACTCCGTCAAGCCGCCCAGGGACACGACTAGCCCCAGCAGGACGTGGTAGCGGTAGGTGGGCAGCCCAAGGAGCTGGGTGATGCGTGGGAAGGCCTGGGAAGGTGCACTCCAGTTCACGGAGGCCACGTCGGACCTGCAAGAGAGTGAGTGAGACAAGGCCGGGCTGCCAATGATCTCGCCATGGCTGCGGGGCCAGCACGGGGGGCCTACACCCCGACAGTACCTGGGAAACAGCTTTTCCAGTTCTCCTCGGTGGGGCACGTGGGGGATGGGAGGGCTGTCAAAGTGCAGGAGCGTCAGGAACACGCTGGCGGCGTGAGCACGGAAACGGTCAATCTTCTCACTGGCCTGCTGGGCCACACAGCACATGATGCGCTCACAGCTGCAAACCGAGAGCAGGAGGTAAACCAAGGGCGGGCGGTAAATTAAGAGCGGGCGGTAAACTGAGCACAGGCGGTCCGAGCCGTGACTCCAGCCCAAGCACCACGAGGACATGCGGGCTCCTCGGGACATGGTGGCTGAGTTGGCAGCTGACACCAGGACACTGGCTCGGAAGAACCACACTCCGTTACCTTCACATCCCAGGAGCCCAACCCTACAGGTGCGCAGCAAATACATGCTACGTACTTGTTACACATGTGCTACGTGTTACATGCGTGCTGATGAGGTCTTAGGGTTGAAGCAGGGACAACAAATAGGATTACAGGAGCGGGTGGAGAAGAGTGATGGGGACAGAGAGGCCGGGGATGGGGAGAGAGAAGCTGGGGCTGGGGAAGAGATGGGGAGGGGGAAAGAGAAAGAGGTGAGAACTAAGGAAATCAGGCCCTGGGATCCCCACGGCCAAGTGTCCCTGACAGAGAGACTGACAGCAAGGGCAGGGCCTGGACCCCCATGACTCAGTGCCCCCGACAGAGACCCGCAAGGGCAGGGCCTGGACCCCCTGACTGAGTGCCCCTGACAGAGATCCGCAAGGGCAGGGCCTGGACCTCCATGACTCAGTGCCCCCGACAGAGAGACCGACAGAAAGGGCAGGGCCTGGGGGTACCCACAACCCAGTGCCCCCGACAGAGACACACAGCAAGGGCAGGCCCCAATGGCAGCCTCAGGTGCAGGGAACTGAGTGATGGCTCAGCTGGTCCTGGCAGGAGCAGACCCCCAGGTTCAGGGTCCTAAGCTGAGAAGTCCCCACCTCCTGCCCGGCCCTACCCCGGGAAGCTGGCTGTCATCAAACTGGCCAGAGCACCGTTGGAGGCCCAGGCTGGGGAGCAGAGCCTCGTCCTGGGGGCACTGGGCAGAGGAGGATGGGCCCCAGCTCACGCCATGGCTATGGGGGCAGGAGGAGGGGCCTGCACAAACCTGGGGTCAGGGACCAGAGAGGCTCTCTGGGAGGAGGGTGTGTGCCCAGCAGTGCAAATGCCACTGAGCACCAGGACCGCCCGCCCCGCCAGCCTCCCCAAGCTCGGGGCTGCCCTCTAGGATGCAGAAGAGCTGCGACGTGACACTCACGTATGGGCCTCGATCAGCTCAGGCTGGCTCCGAGCCAGCAGAAGTGTCAGATCCATCAGACTGGTCATGGCGGCCTTGCGGACCCTGATGGGACAAGGAGAGGCAGAGACACCCAGCTTGAGAGGGGGGTTCCAACCCTGGTTCTGCCCACCACGCCGGCAGCCTGTGTGAATTCGACACCCGTGACTAACCCCACACAGAGCCCAGGCACGCTGCCAGGGAGTCACGGGGCCTGCAGAGGTTCCCTGTGCGCTACAGGGACGTGTGCAGGGAGCCACCCACAGCCACACACACCGGGGCCCCGAGGCATCCTACACACACAGGCGTTTCAGGGGTTATCAATCCCACTACAGCAAGAAATGTTGGCAAAACCCAATGTAAGCAGCCGGCAGCCTTTCATTGAAGACGCGTCCTCCCTCACACCCTGTCAACGAGGACGACACAGGCCCAACACCTGAGGACGGGCTGGACAAGCACCTGCAAAGCCCTGCCACGCAGGCTCACCCGGGAGCAGAGAACAGGTCATCTTCCCCAGAGCCTTTAAAACGCAAAACACGGCACAAATCTACAAAGATTTCTCCCTGCAGAAAAGCCCGGGGCCTCCGAGTTTCCACGGAATAGATGGGCTTCTCAGAAGAAGCGCTCACCCACTGCTACGTACGTACCAGGTGCCCACGTCCCCTCTGCTGTCCGTGGTGTAGTCGTCCATGCAGCCCAGCAGCGCACAGTAAATCTGGGAAACATTCTCTCCGCACACAGCTTCGTCTGGGGCTCCTGCTTTCACACCAACAGTCTGGCAAATCCTGAAATTTAAAATGTGTGAGCTAACAAACAAACATCGGTGAGCCTCATCTTCCACATCGCAGAGGGCTGATGTGTGTTCCTGATCCTGAGAAGACACGCTCAGAACAGTCCAGGACCCTCGGGTAGATCAGAAACACAGAGCTCCTTCCACATGTATGGAACGTGGGACGTGCTTCCCCGAGGTCACGCTCTGCCGTCTCTCCGGTTGAAAGGTGGATGGGGACGCCCCCTGCGGCTGGTCCCTCCCACTTCCCACCCTGACTAGAGGGAACGGATGCTGGCATAGGAGAGAAGGGGGCGTGCGTGGCCCCCGCGGGACTGCTCCTCTTGTGTGCCTGCAGGGAGGAGAGGGCATATGGCGTGGCCCCAGGTGCGTGTCTGTCAACGAGTGCAGAGATCATTCCAAACACTGGCTGGCAGGGTCAGCTCCTCTTTGCCAACCTTGGGCCAGGACACATTCTCCAATTCTCCAAGGGGCCCAGTGTCCCTAAAGAAGTTTAACATTCACTACGACTATGACAGCAAGAGAATGAAAGAGCCTCCAGCAGCTGGGACTGACGATCCTCTGGAAGAGAGGAAACCTAGGAAGTGAAGAATCATAAGTCCTGCCTCTGAGCAAAAACATCCCCCTTAGCGTTCATCTGCTGGCCTTTCAGAGACTTACGACTTTAGGGAGGAACTGTTGGGACTCACCTCGCAATGGCCTTCAAGCCGTCTCTCCTGGACTCAGCAAAACTTACGTCCTCGGGGGAAGTGTGGGTAACTGCTCTTAAACCTGTGAGAACCTGGAAAGCAATAAAGAATCACAGAAGAACCATAAGCTATAACAAAGTGCACTCTTTAGGGAGGTGGCAATGTTGGCCCGGAGCCACAGACCCCACACCATGAGATAGGCAGCTCCTGGCACCACCTTCCTCACGGCCATCCATGGCCCCTGGTACAACCCAGGAAGGACACCCGGGGAGAGGTCACCTCCAGCCTCTCCACGGCCCCCAGTACAACCCAGGAAGGACACCCGGGGAGGAGTCACCTCCAGCCTCTCCACGGCCCCCGGTACAACCCAGGAAGGACACCCGGGGAGAGGTCACCTCCAGCCTCTCCACGGCCCCCAGTACAACCCAGGAAGGACACCCGGGGAGAGGTCACCTCCAGCCTCTCCACGGCCCCCAGTACAACCCAGGAAGGACACCCGGGGAGAGGTCACCTCCAGCCTCTCCACGGCCCCCAGTACAACCCAGGAAGGACACCCGGGGAGAGGTCACCTCCAGCCTCTCCACGGCCAGCCCCCACCCCAGGGTGTCACTGGGGGTCTGGCCACACCCTACCTGAGGTCCCCCCCTTTTGTCCTACGCTGAGACCTGGGGTATTGACAAAGGAAGCTGCTGGGTCCCGACAACCTCATCTGTCATATCTCCAAGTGATCCTGTTTCACATTTATCTGTGTTTCAACTGGATAAACCCCCACATGCGAGTTTTAGATGGCATGGCGGCTGCGAGGCCCACCCGCCACACAGGCAGGAGTCCGTCTGGAGCTGCAGATCCTGAAGTGCCAAGGCTGGATCCCATGGGGAGGGAAGGGCGTGGGGAACCCAGTGGCCAGGGCCTATTCCAGCTTCAGACGCCAGGTGGCCGGAGGGGAGACAAGCAGGAGTTCCCGGCAGGTTGGTCAGTGGGACCAGCACCACAGGAAAGCGTGAGAGAGCAGGTCACTGAGGCCAGCGTGGGGCTGACCTCTGGGAGGACGTGGAACCACCTCTGCCCCGACCTGGATGCAGGATGCACGGCCGCAACCAAAACAGGACCCGGCTCCACAACGCACAAAGGCAACTGTGTTCTCCTCACTCTCGGCAGCTGCTTCTACAAACAACACCTTCTCCTCCCTCCCAGAATTCAGCTTTTTCAAGTCTGTCCTCTGACAGCAAAGGGTTCGCCAGGGCCCTAAGGGGCCACAGACCTTGGGTGCCCTCTGCCCCCTTCCTCCTGGCCACAGGTGCCGGTTTCCAGGAACCCCCTCCCAGCTACAAGCACTGATGGGTTTATTAACGGCTGGGCCTACCTCATGCCCCAACACACGAGGCTCCCACACCCTCGCCCTAGGCCCCGTCCACTGCGCGTGGCCAGCCTCACCTGCTGGAGCCGGCCTTTCAGAAGGAAGCCTGGAAGGGCGCCCAAGGCCAACGAGAAGCCACAGCGAGTCATCTCCTCGGGGTTCCGAAGCTCAGCCAGGTACTGCGTGATCAGCTCCTCTGAAAGGAAGCAACGAGTGTGAAGAGAGGCCCTCTGCTGCCCATCGTGTACAGCCACACCCGACGTGTGCCCCAAACAGGAGCAAAGCCACAGTGAACAAAGGAGGAGCCGCCTGAGGTTCCCAAAGCAGACACGTTTCCAAAGTGGCCTACCTCAAAATAGGAATCAGAAAGAGAATTTTTTTTTTGAGAGAGTCTCATTCTGTCACCCAGGCTGGAGTGCCGTGGTGCAAGCTTAGCTCGCTGCAGCCTCAACCCCACACTCAGCCTCCCAAGTAGCTGGGATTACAGGTGTGTGCCACCATGCCAAGCTAATGCATGATTTTTATATACTTATAATAATTTTAAGTGGTGATTCACACACTTTTGACGTGATTAATAATGCATGTTCTATCATATGACATAAAGGAACACTGTGGGCCAACATATGTGCATGTGACACTTTAAAAATAAAAGTACGATTCATGAAGCAGATCCCTCGAACATGATGTGCGAGAAGCAAGCCTGAACTTCAGCACGGGGGTGCAGGATGTACAGTGAGGCGGCACAGCAGCTACGCACGGGACACGGCGTAAAGCCAGCCTAATGCTACTTTCATAAAGAAGGAAAAAACAGCAAAATGTATTAACGAGTGAAACACACAGCAGAAAAATGTCACGGTGCATACAAAAATTCTAAAAACACTGACCGAGTGCAGTGGCTCACACCTGTAATCCCAGAACTTTGGGAGGCTGAGGCAGGTGGATCACCTGAGGTCAGGAGTTCGATTCCAGCCTGGCCAATGCAGTAAAACCCCGTCTCTACTAAAAATACAAAAATTAGCCGGGTATGGTGGCAGGCACCTGTAGTCCCACCTACTCAGGAGGCTGAGGCACAAGAATTGCTTGAACTCAGGAGGCAGAGGTTGCAGTGAGCCGAATCACGCCACACCACTCCAGCCTGGGTGATGGAGCAAGAGGGTGCCGTCAACAGAGACGCGTCCCTGCTGAGCCACCTGTTCAGAGCTGATGCAACATCCTGGGCAGCTGCAGGACCTGCCCACAGCTCCTCGGCTGGGAACCTGAGACCCGAACAGTCCCACTCCAGCCATGATCGTGGTGGCTCTGCTCCACTGCACAACCGAGGCCTCCTCCGTGCCCAGACACTCCCCAGCAGCTTCCTGCTGGAAGCCCCTGGAGTCTTCAAGAAAAGGGCTCCCCACTCACCCTGAATTGCGGGATCTGCCTCCCCCGGCTCCTTCATGTAATATTCACTGCATAGAGCAGCCAGGGCCGAGACTGCTGCATCCTAAAACAAAGGCAGCACGGTGAGCGCACAGCAGCTCTGCTCGGAGAAGCCCCCGGCCAGGGACAGAGCAGGTCACTCTGAAGTCGGAGAAGCACCTGACCAGGGACACCGTGGTCACCCTGAGGTCAGAGCAGCCCCTGCCTGACCAGGGACCCAGCGGGTCGCCCTGAGGTTGGAGAAGCACCCGGCCAAGGACACAGCAGGTCACCCTTGAGGTCAGAGAAGGACCTGACCAGGGACACAGCGGGTCACCCTGAGATCTCGGCACAGCAATGACTTTCGAACCAAACCAAAAGAACCCCTAAGTCATGCTACTCCTTTCCAGCACGCCTGCTCACCATCATCTGTCAGATACACGCATCACTTTACTACCACTACAACTAAGAAACTGAATGGATAACCTGATTATTCCTTCCACAATGTCTGTCTTCTAATATGGAACAATAATAAAATGGAGCATATTTTTCTTTCCCAGAAATAGTTATGAAGAAAAAGGCATACACTATGCACCCAGAGTAACGGGGCAGGGCCTTCAGGCCAAGCCACGTCAGCCTCATTTAGAGAGACAGGGCTCCGGGGGCGCACTGGGAACAGGAGTTGGGGCCGGACAGCAGGAGACCCCCGGGAACCCATCCCAAGGCCACCAGGAACCGTGGTGGGAGGGACGGCAATTGCTGCACAGAGCAGGAGCGGGCAGAGAGTCACCAGTCCCGCCGCGTGCGGGGCTCAGTGCCACTGTCTCCTCGAACCCCCACCTCTGCCACCTACGGAGGAGCCTCTCGTGACCACACAGCCAGCAAGTGGCAAACACCAAACCCACGTGTTCTTTCCACCGCTCCCCCGAAGCCCAGGAGCCGAGGCCAACAGAGCAGCCTTGGAGAGGCACTGGGGGCGGGGCAGGTGGGGGCCATGAGCAGAGGAGGTGCGTCGTC